>NC_000005.10:19095699-19398729 GCF_000001405.40 Homo sapiens
TTGTCAGGTTTGTCAAAGATCAGGTGGATGTAGATGAGTGGCATTATTTCTGAGACCTCTGTTCTGTCCAATTGGTCTATATATCTGTTTTGGTACCAGTACCATTCTGTTTTTGTTACTGTAGCCTTGCAATATAGTTTGAAGTCAGGTAGCATGATGCCTCCAGCTTTGTTCTTTTTGTTTAGGATTGTCTTGGCTATGTGGGCTCTTTTATGGTTCCTTATGAAATTTAAAGTAGCTTTTTCTAATTCTGTGAAGAAAGTCAACGAGAGCTTGATGGGGATAGCACTGAACCTATAAATTACTTTGGGCAGTATGGCCATTTTCATGATATTGATTTTCAAAAATAGCCTTCACCCAAAAACATAGCCACCAAAGTAGTAAATCAAACACTGGAATTATTAAGAGATAACTTCAAAGAAGCACAGTAGTACTTTAGTTTACTTTTCTCATGATATGACAATCACATGGGATGATAGACAAGGTATAAATGACCTAATTGATGAGGTACATCACGTACTCATATTCCACAAATATATGTGATATATTTCCATAGAATTTGATGAATAAATGCATATACATTTCAAAATCAACTCAAAATATTTAATTTGCTTCATTTTAATGTGTCTGTGAATAGTGACAACAATTAAGTAGAAATGTACTGCAATAAAATATCAATAAAAGTCTATAAAGTGATATATATGTATATGATTTTACACTCTGATCACAAATGAATTAAACTTGAAATTAAAAACAAGCAACAAATCTCCTTACTTGTAAAGCTAAACCACATCATTGAAACTAGCATAATGAATGGAAATAAACCAATAACTAATTCAAATGATTTCAAGAATATAATATGGATATAAATAATATGCATTAACTAAACCGACAAGATTTATTTGAAATGATACTCAGAATAAAATTTATATTATCAATTTTGAAGATTTAAAACAAGAAACTGCAAGTTGTAACCAAAATGGAACAAATAATTCAAATTAGAGATGCAGAAATAAAACTACAAAATAAACCTAAATATAAAAAGGAATAAAAAATAAAATATCTAAGCCAGATGGAGAGGTATGCACATGTAGTGCCAGCTACTGAGAAAGCTAAAGCAGGAGGATCTCTTGCCCAGGAGTTCAAGTATGTAGTGCACTGTGAGTGTGTCTACGAATAGTTACCACACTGCAGCTTGTACAACATAGTAAGACCACATCTCTTAATAAAAAATATCTCTAAACAACATTAGAATATAACTACGATACAGGCATACTTTGTTTTGTTGAACTTCTTTTCTTCGCACTTCACAGATTTTTAAAAATGCAAATCGAAGGCCGGGCGTGGTGGCTCACACCTGTAATCCCAGCACTTTGGGAAGCCAAGGTGGGCAGATCACGAGGTCAGGAGATCGAGACCACCCTGGCTAACACAGTGAAACCCCGTCTCTAATAAAAATACAAAAAAAAAAAAAAAAGAGCGTGGCATGGTGGCAGGTGCCTGTAATCCCAGCTACTCAGGAGGCTGAGGCATGAGGCAGGAGAATCGCTCAAACCCAGAAGGCAGAGGTTTCAGTGAGCCGAGATCACGCCACTGCACTCCAGCCTGGGTGACACAGTGGGACTCCCATCTCAAAAAAAAAAAAAAATACAAATAGAAGGTTTGTAGCAACCGAGTTGAACAAGTCCATCGGTGCCATATTTTTCAACTGCACGGGCTCACTTTGTGTCTCTGAGTCTCATTTGGTAATTCTAGCAATATTTCAAAAATTTTCATTATCATTTTTTCTGTTATGGTAATATATGATGAGTGAACTTTGCTGTTACTATTGTAACTGTTTTGGAGCACCACAAATCTTGCCCATAAGGGACAATGAACTTAAGTAGTAAATTCTGTGTATGGACTGACTACTCCATCAACTGGGCATTCCCCCTTCTCTCCTCCTCTCCTCATGCCACCCTAGTCCCTGAGACACAAAAATATTGAAATCAGGCCAATTAGTAACCTTATAATGTCCTCTAGGCATTCAGGTGAACGAGTCACACACCTCTCACTTTAAATCAAAAACTGGAAATGATTAAGCTTCATGAGGAAGGCTTGTGCATGTCTGAAGCTGAGACAGGCTGAGGGGTAAGCCTCTTGTAGCAAAAAGACGAGTTGGCAAAGTGAAGGTAAAGTTATCAAAAGAAATTAAAAGTGCTATTCTAGTGAAACATGAATGATAAGAAAGGGAAATAGCCTTATTGCTGATACTGAGAAAGTTGTAGTGATCTGGAGGAAAGATCGAACTAGCTATAGCATTTCCTTAAGCTAAAGCCTAATCCAGAGTAAGGCCCTAACTCTCTTCAATGTTATGAAGGCTGAGAGAAATGAAGGATCTACAAAAGAAAAGACTGAAGCTGGCAGATGCTGGTTCATGGGGTTTAAGGAAAGAAGCCATTCCTTAACATAAAAGTGCAAGTTGGAGAAGCAAGTGGTAATGTGGAAGCTGGAACAAGTTATTCAGAAAAATCAAGCTGAGATAATAATGAAGTTGATGACACTAAACAGGTTTTCAATATAGACAAAACTGCCTTCTATTGGAAAAAGATGCCATCTAGGACTTTCCAAGCTACCGAGGAGAAGTCAAGACCTGGCTTCAAAGCTTTAAAAAGACCAGGCTGACTCTCTTGTTAGGGGATATTGCAGTTGCTGACTTTAAGTTGAACTCAATGTTCAGTTATTATCCTGAAAATCCTAGGTTTTCTTAAGAATCATGCAAAATCTACTTCACCTGTGCTTTATAAATGGAACAATAAAGCCTAGATGACAGGATATTTGCTTAAAGTTTGACTTATGGAATATTTTAACTCCACTGATGAGACCTACTGCTCAGAAAAAAAATCCTTTCAAAATATTACTGCTCATTGACAATGTGCCCAGTCATCCAAGAGCTCTGCTGAAGATGTACATGGAGATTAATGTTGTTTACATGCCTGCTAACACAACACCCAGTCTGCAGCCTGTGGATCAAAGAGTAATTTTGACTTTCAAGTCTCATTATTTAAGAAATACATTTTGTAAGGCTATAGTTCCCATAGACAGTGATTCTTCTGATGAATCTGAGCAAAGTGAATTGAAAACCTTCTGGATAGGATTCACCATTCTAGATGCCATTAGGAACATTCATGATTCTTGGAAGGAGGGCAAACTATCAACATTAACAGAAATTTGGAATAAGTTGATTCTAACCCTCATGAATGACTTTTGAAGAATATAAGCCTTCAGTGAAGGAAGTAACTACAGATATAGTGGAAATAGCAAGAGACCAAGGCTTAGAAATGGATTCTGAAGATATGATTGAAGTACTGTAATCTTATGGTAAAACTTGAACAGATGAGGAGGTGCTACTTAGGGATGATGAAAGAAAGTAGTTTCTTGAGATAGAAACTACCCCTGGTGAAGATGCTGTAAACATTGTTGAAATAAGAACAAAAAATTTAGAATATCATATAAAATTAGTTGATAAAGCAACAGCAGAGATGGAGAAGACTGACTTCAATTTTGACAGAAGTTTTACTGTGTGTAAAATGCTATCAAATATCATCAAATGCTACAGAGAAATCTTTTGTGAAAGGAAGAGTCAATCAATGTGCAAACTTCATCATTGTCTTGTTTTAAGAAATTGCCACAGACACCCAACCGTTGTCAACTACCACCCTTATCAGTCAGCAGCACTCAACATCAAGTCAACAGCCTCCACCAGCAAAAAAATGATGACTTGGTGAAGGTTCAAAGGATCATTAGCACTTTTCAGCATTAAAATATTTTTAACTTAAGGTATATACATTGTTTTTTGACACATACTGCTACTGCATACTTAAAATGCTACCATAGAGTGTAAATATAACTGTTATATGCACCGGGAAACCAGAAAATTTGTGTTACCGCAGTGGTCTGGAACTGAATCTGTATTATCTATGAGGTATTTCTGTACGTTCACTTCACCACTCTTATTCAACATAGTACCAGAAGTTCAAGCTTCATCATTTGGCCAAAAAAAGAGATAAAAGGCATTCAGTTTAAAAAGGAAGAAATTAAACTCTTTTTATTTGGAAATGTCATAATTTTTTCCATCTTTAACAAGAGGCCTCCAAATAATGTGAGTTCAGAAGAGAATATTTTGAAGTTGCCATTAGTCTACCCATCAATGAACATCTATACCCATGTATTTGTCTTTGCCTCTGTTACAATAATAGATATGCTATTCCTATCTAAGGTTAACTTATTTACCTGGACAGTGGGCCTTGTGCTACCTGAACTGCTGAAGAATATTGCCAGGGTGATCCATCTTTCATTATGAATATTTTCCTTTGGACCTATTTGTTTATATAAGCATAAAATCATAATATGACTGTCTTATATTAAAAATAGCCTCTCTTGTGTCCACTACCCCTATAGCTATCACTTTGTTTCTTTGCTCCCTTTAGCAGAGAAACTTCTTAAAAAATTGTTTTTATCACCAAAAGCAATGGCAACAAAAGCCAAAATAGACATATGGGATGGAATTAAACTAAAGAGCTTCTGCACAGCAAAAGAAACTACCATCAGAGTGAACAGGCACCCTACACAATGGGAGAAAATTTTTGTAATCTACCCATCTGACAAAGGACTAATATCCAGAATCTACAAAGAACTTAAACAAATTTACAAAAATAAAAAATAAAAAACTCCATCAAAAAGTGGGCAAAGGATATGAACAGACACTTCTCAAAAGAAAACATTTATGCAGCCAACAGACACATGAAAAAATGCTCATCATCACTGGTCATCAGAGAAATGCAAATCAAAACCACAATGAGATACCATCTCATTTCAGTTAGAATGGCAATCATTAAAAAGTCAGGAAACAACAGATGCTGGAGAGGATGTGGAGAAGTAGGAATGCTTTTACACTGTTGGTGGGAGTGTAAACTAGTTCAACCACTGTGGAAGACAGTGTGGCTATTCCTCAAGGATCTAGAGCTAGAAATACCATTTGACCAAGCGATCCCATTACTGGGTATATACCCAAAGGATTATAAATCATACTACTATAAAGACACATGCACACATATGTTTACTGCGGCACTATTCACAATAGCAAAGACTTGGAACCAACCCAAATGTCCATCAATGATAGACTGGATTAAGAAAACGTGGCACATATACACCACGGAATACTATGAAGCCATAAAAAGGATGAGTTCATGTCCTTTGCAGGGACATGGATGAAGCTGGGAACCATCATTCTGAGCAAACCATCACAAGGACAGAAAACCAAACACCGCGTGTTCTCACTCATAGCTGGAAATTGAACAATGAGAACACTTGGACACAAGGTGGGGAACATCACACACTGGGGCCTGTCATGGGGTGGGGGGCAGGGGGAGGGAGAGCATTAGGAGAAATACCTAATATAAACGATGAGTTAATGGGTGCAGCAAACCAGCATGGCACATGTATAGCTATGCAACAAACCTGCACATTGTGCACATGTACCCTAGAACTTAAAGAATAATAAAAATTGAAAGAAAATTGTTTTTATTTCCTGTTTTTAATTTCCTCCCCCTATTTTCTCCAGAACTCTCTAAATTTCTGTATTTTGCCCAAAAGATGCTAAGAAGTCTGATTGTCATCAATACTCACACTGTTAAATCCAATAACTAACAGGCCTTGACTTACCAGCCACCTTCCTCGGTGCTGACTAGTCCATTCACATTGAGGTATTTTCTTTGCTTGGATTGCAGTATCTTATGGTTTCCTGATGCAATTTCTTTATCGCCAGACACAGGTTTTTCCTCTCCTTTGTTAATTCTTCCTTATCTATCCAATTATTTAATTTCAGAGTTTCTTAAAGTTCACACATTGGGTTATTTATTTTTTTGTCTATATTTATTTAATTTATTTAATTTTTTTTTTTTTTAGAGACAGGGATTCACTATGTTGCCAAGGCTGGTCTCAAACGCCTGAGCTCAAGGGATTCTCTTGCCTGACTTCCAAGTAGCTGGGATGACCAGGCACAAGCCAACATGTCCAACATTTTGCCTACATTTATTGATTAATATTTTCATCCAGACTCCTGGCATTAAATACCATCTATACATTACACACTACCTTTATTAATATAGGCTCTTTAAGAAAGAGATATTGAGATCAAGATTCAAGTGTAAGTAGTTTATTTGGCAGAGAGTGGGGGGAATAAACCTACAAAAATACCATTATACGAATAGGAAAGTTAGTGAGGAAACTAAAGATTAAAAATAAGTTTGTTAAGAAACTAGTTACCAGTGAAAAATAGGGCTTCAAATCCTTCTAGGGATCCAGGATAATTGGAGAAAAACATATGCTTAGATTGTCCCATCAGAAAGATGAAAGAAACAGGAATATTTACCCACCCTGATCTGTCATTAAGTGAGAGCTCTTTGGTAAAGGATGATAATCTAAAATTGAGAGAATATGCAAAGAAATAGTAAATATAAGGTGAGATGGGTGGGACCTCAATAACCCCCACTGCCCTCTCCACATTCTTTCACGAAGCCAGTAATTTCTTTAAACTCCTGACCTGTATATGCAAATGCCCACTTGACCTCTCCAACTAAGAGTTCTATTAGACATCTCAAAAGGAGTATGGTTATTGGGAAGCTCCTGATCTACACACACATTCTAAATTTATTCCTTTGCACTTTTCCTCATTTCACAAAAAAGGTAATTCCAGCCTTGCGATTGCTTAGGCCAAAACACACTGGAGTCCTTCCTGAGTCTTCTCATTCTTTGAAACTCCACCCCATCTAGAAAAGACTACCAGTATATCCTGTAGTCTTTTCTATACAGACACACCTCCCTTACCCCCTCACTGCTCACCTTTTCCTTGGCTACAACCTTTTCTGACCTAGAATACGTCAATGATCTTCCACCTGGTCTGTCTCATTCTGCTATGGCTTCCCTTATAGCATCCAGACTGATTCTAATTGAAAATTAAAACCACTCGTGCAATTTCTCTGCTCCGACTTTCTAATACCTTTTCATGTCATTAAGAAACAAGAAATATCTGTGAAATGCCTACAGGCACCTTAGAATAAATGTCCCCCCCCATCACCTCTCTAAGCTCATCACCTACTTGCTTGCTCCAATCTGGTCAGGCTGGCCTCCTTGTTGGGCCTCGGACATGAAAGCATGACCCCTTTCGGTGGCTTTGCATTTGTTGATCTCTCCTTATGGGACATTCTTACCGCATATCCACTGAGTGTCTCCCTTGCTTTCTTGATTCTTTACTGATGGCACTCACCCTGAGAATTTTATTTAAAAATTGCAGAAGAATAGTTGGGACTAGTCTTTCCCTAGTCCCCACTTCCCTTTCTTGCATTTTGTTCTCATAGCACCTGTTACTGAATGAACACTATATAATGCTTTAATTAAATCTCCTATTTCTTTTTTCCTTTCTAGAGATGAACATTGAAGGCAAGAAGAATTTTCCCTGTTTTATTCATGTAGATAGCCCCCAAACCTAGACTAGATTTTAGTGCTGGTGTGTACTCAGGTAAATACTCATTGTAGGAAATAATTCATGAAATTATATATTTACTTGAGGGTTAACTGCGAGACTCTTGTTTCATCCATCATAAAAAATGCTTTATATTCAAAGGTGTTACACTATGAAAACAAAAACCCTCTGTAATTTCATAATTCAAATTCGCAACATTTTTGCATTTTATTATAGTGTGCTTGGTTTCATTCTACTTTCAATTGCTATTATTGTTTTGGTTTCATAAGCAGAGAACAGACCTACAGTGAACTCAAAACAAAATAAAAAATAGTGTGTGATCAAAGAAAACATCTGAAGGAAATGTTATTCAATATAATCATCTTCTGATCCTTACTAGAAAACAATTATAAGATGTATTTAAGTGATAGTGGACCAAGTATTGAATGTATCTGCTTAAAAGAAATATTATATTAGTACGTCTTTAAATTCTCAGAAATACATGCTTTGTTTTGTTTTCTCATGTTGTCTGGATTGTGTTGAATAACTGTAGCCAAACAACTTGGGAGGTTTTACTATAAAGTACAAATTATTCAGAGATTATCTCTTGGGATTAACACACTTTTAAATCAACATGCCTATAGAACCACCTAAAAATACAACTTAGCATTTTTATCATAGAGTAAAAGCAACTTATTCACTAATAAGTGTCAGTACCCAGGCACTACTGTGTCTGGCCCACAGGAATCTTGATAAGCGTGTAAACGAATAACTGAAAAATAATCGTTAAATACTAAAGATGCTGAGTAGGGGCAGGAAGTGGTAATGCTTTATCCATTAAATAAAGATTTTATTTAGTTTTACAAAACCTGGTTTGGATACATTCACTTAATCAAATAACATGAATCATTTATTCCCCTGTAGAGGATCCTGACACTCATTATAAACTTATCAAATAATAATTGAGTATATTTGTTCAATTAATTATATACTGTATTTCTTAGTCTCTAATCCATATGACTTTTCTGGTTTTTATTTGTTTGTTTTTCCCTTGGTGCCAAGCAGAGTATTTAGCACCTGGGATTAGATACCCAACTCAGCTTTAAAAAATTAAATCAGTAATAAGGCAAATAACTGTGTACAGATACAGGTTTTGATTGAAAGAGGAAGAGTGGTATGAATAGAAATACATTTGGAATAGTACTAAAGCAGAAATTTTCAGTTTCCATAGAGTAGCCTGTCGAAAAAGTAACCTGGTAATGAAGGAAAGAAAAACTGAGGATAGTAGGAAGGAAGCTTAGATCCTAGAGAGTAAGGGACAGAAAGGAGAGGAGAAAAGATACCTAGAAAGAGCTTTGCTAATTTATCTATGGCTCTATTGTCAGGAATCACTAAAAACAGTTTGACAGCTCTTTACAATGCCTCTTGGAGACGCCTCCAGCACTTAATGACGTGTGGCATAGGTCCTCAGAAATTGTGACACCATTTTACTAGTGTGATTATAATTATTTCTGTAAATATGGGAAGCCATTTATTATTACTGAAAGTTACTTTGCTAGTACCTAAATCATGGCATAGTTCTTATACTAACTAGATAGATTAATATACACAATGATGTTGTATATTAAACTTGATAATAACATATTAAACATATTTTACTGGAAATTAAGTCCATATAACTAAAAATTTCATGAAATAAAATTTTCATTGAATGTTTTCTGTGCCTACTTTATGAAATCAACCATTATGTTCTTGAAAAACCAGTAAATTCCTTCTTAGAGCATATTTGCTTTTTTAAAATATGATCTCATTATCTTAAAAATAAAAAATGTGTCAGGGGAGGTGTGACGGTGTTGAGTTTGTACATAATGTTATCCCACAGAGCAGCTAGCTGGTTAATAGAAACACTGCTAAAAGTTACAGCAGTACAGGATTTTCCCTTAAGCTATGAATAATACATTACTTTGGTGTTTAATCCAGTGCTGACAAGAAGAGAAATGAGTTGGCATCCATATGGTGACTTAACTACATTTCTAGCTATTGTTCACTTAAATATTTAAGGCCTTATTTATAGATGGCAATAAAATGAAATAAGGAATTAATATGTTGAATCTGTAACTATAAACAAAATCATGTACAGTAAAGTCATTAAATATATTTCATTTCTACCAAATCTGTTTTGTCTGAATTAACAGATAACCTGATCAGTATAGCTTAATTAGGGAGAGGGAGAATTTATCACTTTGCAAGTGACTGAGGTCCTTATGTATATTGTTTAGGTAAAACTGTATGGTATAATGTCAAAATTTTTGGTATTGAAAAATTGTGTTGGGGCCAGACATAGTGAGTCACACCTGTAATACCGGCACTTTGGGAGGACGAAGGGGGAGAACTGCTTGAGCTCAGGAGTTCAAGACCAGCCTGGGAGACATAGTGAGAACATGTCTATACAAAAAATAAAAACAACAACAAAAAATGAGCCCGGTATGGTGGTATGCACCTACTGTAGTCCCGGCCACTTGGAAGGCTGAGGAAGGTGGATCATATGAGCCCAGGAGTTGAAGGCTGTAGTGAGCCATGATCTCACCACTGCACTCCAGCCTGGGTGACAGAGCAAGACCCTATCAAAAAAAAAAAAAAAAGTGTTGGTATTCTCAACTCTGCCACTGTCTATTTGGTCTTACGTGGGACCCATTTTGTAAGAGTCTCAGTTTTTACTGTATATAAAACTAGAAAATTAATAATTTTCCTACATTGATGGTACCATTATAACAATTAGAACAAATATGTTTCTAAAAGAATGTATTGGTTGTAAACGTTTTTTGAATATTTCACATCTTGTTTATTCACTTACCAGTTAATGAACATTTTTATTACTTCTACATTTTTTGCTACTGTGAACAATGCTGCTATTAAGATACTTATGCAAGTGTGAACTTATGTTTTCATTTCCCTTAGACAGATACCTAGAAGTTGAATTGTCGGGTAATATGGTAAATTTATATTCCACTTTTTAAGAAACTGCCAAAAACATTTAAATTGTAAATATTTTTTATTGCTTGCTTATTTTCTGTGTAATTCAGTTCCTTAGAGAGCAAGATCTATACCATTTTTATCTTTATATACCTTCATAATGTCCCATATATGAGTAGTTTTCATTCAATATTTATTAAATGAATAAATGCAAGAATGAATGAATAAATAAATGAATGCATAATTTTGATCAACGTGTTATGCATTCCAACTTCTAAGTGGAAAATTTTACTAATGCCAGCAAAGTCTATGGAAATTTTATTCTGCATCATTGAAAACACAGAATTTCCTATAGAAACAAAATTATCCCTGTATATTCTAATGTGCTCATATTGGTTTAATTTGATCATTCTATTATTTGTGCTTCATGCTTTTGGGGGCATTTTGGTGTTGTGGAAGAGGCTGAGGGATCTTTACAGATCTTATAAGACAGATCAATGAGACAGAGTCTCATAGATATTGCCTTTCAATTCCCCAAATAGATAAATCTATACATTGTGGTTCATTATAAAGTGCAATTCACTTGAACTCAGATGGACCTGGTATTAGATCTAGACCCATCACATACTAGCTGTGTGTGAAGTTTAGGCAAGTCATCCTTCATTAAGTTAGAATACTGATTCAGGTACCTCCTCCCTTACTCAAATTAGAGGATTGTAAGTATTCTCTGGATCAAGATTTATAAAGGGACTTTGCAAAATGCAAAACTACACAGAGATAAAAATAAAGATTAACATCACACATCCCATAAGGTCTAGTTTTGGATGTTTGTTTTCTTAACATCTTTTTTTTTGATATGCTAAAAACTGTAATATGGTAAAAAAAATAAATAAAATAAATCAACTGCTTTCCGCTTAAAATGCCCTGCCAAGGTTTTTTTCTTTTTTCTTTTTAATTATTATTATACTTTAAGTTTTAGGGTACATATGCACAATGTGCAGGTTAGTTACATATGTATACACATGCCATGCTGGTGTGCTGCACCCATTAACTCGTCATTTAACATCTTTTAAAATGATTTTAGTGTATTTTAGTATTGCACTCTTTAGGTAATGACCAAGATGAAGCTACACATGACTCTGGCAAGTTTATTATTGGTTTACTAAATCTATAAGTAGGCAATGAATGATCAAAAACTTTTTTATTTTTTATATATTTCTAAATTTATTTTTAGTAGACATGTAATGACTGTATATATTTGGGGGCTACAGCATATTTCAATACATGTACATGCTGTGTAATGATCAAATAAGGTTAATCAGGATATCCATCCCCAAACATTGATCATTTCTTTGCATTGGGAACATTAAAATTCTCTCTTCTAACTTTTTGAACACATACAATAAATTATTGTTAACTGTATTCACCCTGCAGTGCTATAGAACACTAGGACTAATTCTTCCCATCTAGCTGAATCCACTAACCAACCTCTATCCTCTCCTCCCTTCTACCTTCCTAGGCTGTAATAATCATAATTCTATTCTCTACTTCTATGAGCTCTTTTTTTTTAACATCTCACATTTGAGTGAGAAGTTGAGGAATTTCTCTTTTAGTGTCTGACATTTCATTTAATATAATGTCCATCAGGTTTATACATGCTGCCATTCATGACATGAGTCAATTGTCTTATGGTTAAATAATATTCCATTGTGTATATATACCACATTTTCTATATCAATTCATGTGTTGATTACCCTTCAGCTTGATTCCTTATCTTGGCTATTGTGAATAGTGCTGCAGTAAACATGAGAGTGCTAATATCTCTTCAATAAACTGATTTACTTCTCCTTCTATAAATGTCCAATAATGGGATTGCTAGATTATATAAAAGTCCTATTAATAATTTTAGACTTTTGAGAAACTTCCAAAATGTTTTCCATAATGGCTATACTTACATTCCCACCAAATGTGTTAAGTGTTTTCTCTGCAACCTTCATAGCATCTGTTTTTTGTTTTGTTTTGTTTTGTTTTTGTTTTTTTGTTTGTCTTTTTGATAATAGCCATTCTACCTGGGGTGAGATGATAATCTTATTGTAATTTTGATTTACATTTCCCTCCTGATTAGTGATGGTGAACATTTTTTCATTTACTTGTTGGCCATTTGTATGTCTTCTTTTAATAAATATCTATCCAGATTATTTGCTTATTTATTTAATCAGATATTAGTTTGTTTCCTGTCGAGTTATTTGAGTTCCACTAATTTCTCTGGATATTAGTGCCTTGATAACCTAATAATTTGCAAATATTTTCTCCCATTCTATAGGTTGTCTCTTCATCCTGTCGATTGTTTCCTTTGTCATGCAGAAGCTTTCAGTTTGATACAGTCCGTTTGTCTATTTTTGTTTTTGTTGCCTTTGCTTCTGTAGTCTTACTCATAAAAATATTTTCCGCAAGCATTGTCCTAAAGCATTTCCCTTCTGTTTTCATCTTGTAGTTTCATAGTTTCCATTCTTATCCATTTTGAGTTGATTTTTTTTATTTGGTGAGAGATAGGCCTCTAGTTTCATTCTCCTGCATATGGATATCCAGTTTTCTCAGCACCAGTTAATTAAGAGGGTGTCTTTTCCCCATTTTGTGTCCTTAGCACTTTTATAAAAAAGCAGTTGACTGTACATGACATTCTTCTGGGTTTTCAATTTTGTTTCATTTGTCTACATATCTGTTTTTATACCAATATCATGCTTTTGGGTTACTCTTGCTTTGTAGTATATTCTGAAGTTAGGTCAGGTGGGTGATTCATCCAGACTTTTTTTTTTTCCTCAGTATTGCTTTGGCTATTCAAGGTCTTTTGTGGTTCTAAACGAATTTTAAGATTGTTTTCTCTATTTCTATAAGGAGTGTTATTGGTATTTTGGTAGGAATTGCATTGGATTTATAGATTACTCTCAGTAGCATGGCTATTTTAGCAATATTAAGTCTTCCAATTCAGGAACATGGGATGTCTTTCCATTTGTTTATTCCATTTACAATTTCTTTCATCAGTGTTTTGTAGTTTTCATGGTAGAGATATTTCACCTTCTTAATTAAATTTATTCCTATATATTTTACTTCTTTGTAACTATAGAAAATGGTCTTGCTTTTGTGGACCCAGAAAATCTGAGACTGGTCTCAGTTAATTTAAAATGTTTATTTTGCCAAGGTTGAGGACGCGCATCTGTGACACAGCCTCAGGAAGTCCTGATGACATATGCCCAAGATTGTCGGGGCACAGCTTGGTTTTATACATTTTAGGAAGAAATGAGACATCAATCAATATGTGTAAGAATTCCATTGGTTTGGTCTGGAAAGACAGGACAACTCAAAGCGTAGACAGGAAGACTCAAAGCTGGGGGGAACTTCCAGGTCACAGACAGGTGAGAGACAAATGGTGGCATTGTTTCAAGTTTCTGATTAGCCTTTCCAAAGGAGGCAATCAGATGTACATTTATCTCAGTGAGCAGAGGGATAACTTTGAATAGAATGGAAGGCAGATTTACCCTAAGCAGTTCCCAGGCTGAATTTTCCCTTTAGCTGGGTAATTTTGGGAGCCCAAGATATTTTCCCTTCACAGTTTCTTGATTTATTTCTCAGTTTGTTATTGGTGGATAGAAACATCGTTGGTTTTCTATGTTGATTTTGTATTCTACAAAATTACTGAATTTGTTTATCAGTTCTAAGAGTTTTTTTGGCAGAGTCTTTAGGTTTTTCTATCTACAAGATCATCAAAGAAGGACAATTTGACTTCCTCTTTACCATTATGAATGCCCATTGTTTCTGTTGTTAATTGCCATGGCTAGAATTTACAGTAAAATGGTGAATAAAATTGGTGAAAGTAGGCATCCTTGTCTTGTTCCAGTTATTAGAGAAAATGTTTTCATCTGTCTCATTCAGTATGATGTTAGCTGTAAATCTGTTTTTTGTGTCAAGATATTTTTTCTTCTATGCCTCATTTTTAAATTTTCTTCTTTTTTTTATTGATCCATTGGTTGTTTAGGAGCATATTGTTTAATTTTTATGTATTTGTATGGTTTTCAAAGCTCTGCTTGTTATTGATTTCTAGTTTTATTTTACTGTGATCTGAGAAGATACTTGATATAATTTTCATATTTTAAAATTTTCATTCAGATTGGTTTTGTGGCCTGGCATATGGTCTTTCCTGGAGAATGTTCTACATGCTGATCAGAAAAAATGTGTATGCTGTACCTATTGAATGAAATGTTTCATTTGTCTACATATCTCTTTTTATACCAATATCATGCTTTTGGGTTACTCTTTCATTGGTGACATTGGTCTTTAAAGTAATTTAAGTCTGATGGTTCTATGTTAATTTTTTTTTCTACATTGATCTTTCCAGTTTGAAAATAAAGTGCTGTAGTCCCCAGCTACTATTGTATTATTGTATCTCTCTTTTTACCTCTAATATTTGTTTCATATATTAGTGCCCCCATTATTGTGTGCATATATGTTTATAATTGTTATATCCTTTTACAGTTTTGGTCCTCTTATTATGTAATAACCTTGTCTCTTTATGTTTTCCCAATACAGTCTATTTTGTCTGATATAAGTATTGTTACTCCTGTATGCTTTCGAATTGCATTCGTGTAAAATCTCATTTTTCTAATTTCTTCAATTTTATTCTGTGTCTTCACAGGTGAAGTCAGTTTTTCATAGGTGGTCTAAAACTGCATTTTGCTTTTTTAAAAAAAGAATTCATTCAGCCAGGACATATCTTTTAATTGGGGAATTTACACCATTTGTACTCCAGGTCGTTATTGATAGGTAGAGAGTTACTCCTGTTATTTTGTTAATTGTGTTCTGATTGTTTTATATATTCATTATTTCCTTGCCTTTTATTATTTATCTTTATGGTTTGATGGTTTTTAGTAGTGGTAATGTTTGATTCCTTTCTCTTTATTATTTGCGTATATGATCTACCAGTGAGTTTTATACTTTTGTATGTTTTTATCATGGCACATATAAACATTTTGCTTCCAGATATGGGACACTCCTAAACATTTCTTGAAGGGTTAGCCTAGTGGTGGACTTTTCTTGGATTTTGCTTGTCTGGGAAAGACTTTATTTCTCTTTTATTTTTGAAAAATAAGTTTGCTGGTATAATATTCTCAGATGATGGTTTTTGTTTTCTTTCAGCACATTTAATATATCACACTGTTTTCTCCTGGTTTATATGGGTTCTGCTGAGAAATTTTCTGGTAGCCTTATAGAGTTTCCTTTATGGTGACTTGATGATTTTCTCTCTGTATTTAGAATTATCTCTTTCTCTTTGACTTTTGACAGTTTGAGTATAATGTGCCTCAAATATAATCTTTTTGGGTTGCATTTACTTTGGGAACATTGAGCTCCCTATATCAAAATTTTTATTTCTATCCCAAGACTTAGGCATTTTTCAGCTATTATTTTATTAGTAATAAATAGGTTTTCTATGGCTTTTCCCACCTTTATCCTTCTGGAGCTCCTAAAATGCAACAGTTTGCTCACTAAATGTTATTCCATGTCACATGGGCATTCATCTTATATTTATTTGTCTGACTGGGTTATTTCAAAAAATCCGTACTTAAATTTATAAATTATTCTGCTTGATCCAGTCTATTATTGAAGCTCTTAGTTGTAATTATATTTAATTCCTTAAATTATTTTATTCCATAATTTCAATTTGGTTGTTTTTTATGATATCTGAACAAAACCAAATTGGTTGAGTTCTCATTCAGATCATGAAGTAATTTCTTTGTATTTTCTCTCTGTGTTTCCTTGAACCTTATTTAGCTTTCTTAAGATCATTATTTTGAATTATTTATCATGCATTTTATATGTTTCTTTTCAAAAAACATATTATTGACTTCAATAAAGTTTAATCACAATTTTACCACGAGAAGAATGAGTCATATTAAATATAATTTTTCATTGAGGTAACAAATATAGGTTAGAATAATGTCATGGCATGTCATTTATGCTATCAAAATAGTCACTACCTTGTTTTTGTCCTGAACTAAACCTTCTAGTAGTGAATAATTTTAGTAATATTTATTCTAATTTCTGTTATTGTGACAAAGTCATTTGAGTAGTTTCTCAATTAACATTCCATAAATCATAAGCTAATCTTCTACTAAAACCAAGAAGCTTAAAATGCATCCTTCATCTCAAAGTTAATACATTTGAAATATTATAGATGTATATATAATCATTATTATAAACAATTTTTAATATCTTGGGAATTTAATATATTTTTAAATTTATTTTCTAGTATACATAAATGTTAATTTTCATTTATTCCACTTAAAGCAAACCATTTGATATGTAAAAAACACAATCCAAATTGTTTTCAGTTCTTAGGTGTTGCTCGTAGCATTATATTTCCACATGGAGCTGGATGACTACTGGATGAATAAAATAAAAATAATGTTCAGGTTTCAGGAATTATCAGGCTGTTAAGGTGACTCACAGTTTTAATTACAGTGTTTTGGGAAACCGAGGCAAGAGGATTGCTTGAGGACAAGAGTTTGAGACCAGCCTGGGTAACATAGCGAGACATCATCTCTGTAAAATCTACAGGCATGCGCCTGTAATCCCAGCTCCTCAGGAGGCTGTGGTGGGAGGATCACTTGAGCCCAGCAGTTTGAGGCCACAGTGATCTGTGATCACTCCACTGCTTTCTAGGTTGGGTGACGGAGCAGAATCCAATCTCTAAACTAAATTTAAATAAATTTAAATTAAAAAGAATCATCATTTTTTATAATTGTCTCATTCATGGTGATCTAATGAGCAAGGAACAAGAATAGTATGCCCTGAATCATCATCGTGTTGTAAGACATATTTTCTATTCAAGAAATGAAGATATTAGGAACAGGTTTATTACTATAATTATTACTAATTATATAGCACTTAAAAATGTCGGGACTACAACCCCAAATAGGCCAATTTTTGTGGTTTGAAAATATCTCTTGAGTACTTTTCCATTTGGGGCAGTCATACACTTTCCCTTTGCTAAGTATTACTTTGCTAAGCGAAAGTATTTTGTTCAATGGGAGGATTTGTCAGAACACGATGTCAGGCAAATGTTATCATCTTCACATGGTCCATATAATCTTATACCTGGAAACAGAAAATAGACTATATTCTTAAAGACTTCTCACATATATTATATTAGCTAACTGTATTGGTTACCCTGCAGAACTGGAATCCTATTGCAGGGCAGTTCTCCTGGTGGCTTTGAACCAATGCAGTTCTTCCCTTTTACTTCCTTATGGTCCTCAACAATAACTGTAGAATGTGCTGGAGATGTAATATCCTGAGATACAAACAAATTGTAGGCAACAACCCAGGCCTTTTTCCTATCTCTCCTATGGATGTAACATCTTGAGTTAGGGAGAAACTTCCCACGATAGTCCAAGCTTTATTCTTCTGTCTCCTAGAAGCAGGATATTCCTCAAAGCTCAGTATGTCACATTGCCCGATGTATACAACCTAGGGTAGACTGCCTTTTGGGATTCCTCAGAGTAGTGAAAAATAGGAAATATGCAGCCAAGACTCCATCTGCCCTGGGCAGCTTTCTTGAGGTGTGGGGTACAGGCTTACAATGTATCCAATATTATTTTGGTCCATGGATGCCTAAGTATATGTAATAATTTGTTTGACATAAGTTGTGTATGAATGGGTAATGTCTCACTTGACTCAGAAAAATTGGTAATCAGTGGATGACGGACATAAGTAGTAGCTCAGAATGCAGTCAGTATAGCACATGGACTCCTGTTTCTGGTGGTTGGAATAGTGATGACATTTTCTAGCCTCCACAAAGTGGGAGTTTTCTCTTAGAATCAGTAATTAGTAAACCTCCTCACACCTACTCCAAAATTTGATTCAGATGCTAAGACTGATGATACTTACGTCATTTAAGAAGGTATGAAAAGATTTATTGCTCACACAATGAGGCTTTCAGGGCAAGCCCCCAAGAAATCCAAAGATAGCTTGAGAAAACAGGGAGAAATGACTGGCTTTAGGTTTTGTGGTTTTGAAGAAGTAAAGTAAGGGTTCCCTTGCATGGACTGTGACTTCTTTGGTTTGAACTTGCCATCAGCACCAAAGGAAGAATCACCTGAGATTTTTATCAGCTTGCCCAGATATAGGACCAAAGGAGAAGGGGAGTGGTGGGACTTGAAAACTGTAAGCAGTCAAACATCAATATTGGAGTAAGACACTTTATTAAAATTAATCCTTTATGTTTGGCTGAGGACTAAAATGTGCCATGTTTCATTTAATTGCAATTGAATATGTTTAATTGTTTTATTATGGGGCTCTGTGAGACATGTAGCCTGAGACTGCTAAGACAGGTGAAAGTTCCATTGCATGCCTTATTTAAGAGCCCAGCATTGCATATTTTGAGAAGTTAAATGACTGACTTAATAGCTGTCAACACTTAGAAATTCAAAGGGGGTATGTAATGTCTTTTTCTAAGAAATTTGTTATTTTTAATTTTTGTGGGTACATAGCAGGTATATATATTTATGGTGTATATGAGATATTTTGTTACAGGCATACAATGTGTAATAATCACATCATGGTAGATGGAGTATCCATCACCTCAAGCATTTATCCTTTGTGTTCAGGTGTGCAATATCTTCATTAGGACTTGTGTAGTGGCTTTAGTATGTGTAAAAACTTGTGTGACTTGGATTTATATTTTGAGTGTCTGTAAGGCAAGAGATTTCCAGAGGGAGAAAGCTTGGATAAGTAATCGATGTTGTTGCCATTGTAATAGACCATGTAGCCAGTCCGCTGGTAATGGTTTATACCTATAAAATTTCAAGTGAATCCAGTTTCTGATCAAGACATCTAGTGATAATATGCTCGCCTGATGTTTGGGAAATCAGGATGATTTGCAAGTAGCAGCAAATATGTATGTGCTTAAGTAAATTTATAACAAGAGGGAGAGCCTAAGCTGACCAGGGGCAGAAGCAGTACCTAAGAACAGCACAGATGCTCTATGAAAGCATGGCCAGACTGCTTCTTCAGGCAAGCCGTCAATCCAAGTCCTCCTGACTGCGTGAGACCTTCAACTAGGGTCTCCAGCCAGCTCCTACAGGTGCATTTGGGAAAGCAACAGTTCTGTACCTCCCTGGGACAGAGCTCCCAGATGAAGGGGCAGGATGCCGTCTTTTCTGTTTTGTAGCCTGCACTTGTGAGACCTTGAAGTACTGAAAAATCCAAGATGACTAGGGACTAGAGCAGATCCCCAGCAAACTGCAGCATCCCTATGGAAAAATGGCCAGACTGTTAAGAGAAAAAAAATCCAAAGGTCAGCAACAACAAAGATTGAAGATAGATAAACCTACAAAGATGAGAAAGAATCAGCACAAGAATGCTGAAAACTCAAAAAGCCAGTGTGCCCTCTTTCCTCCAAATGACTTTATCACATCTCCAGCAAGGGTTTGGATCTAGGCTGAGACAAGATGGCTAAAATGACAGAAGTAGAATTTATAATATGGATAAAACCAAACTTTACTGAGCTAAAGGAGTATGTTGTAACCCAATACAAGGAAGCTAAAAATCATGATAACACTGAAGAAGCTGAGAAACAAAATAACCAGTACAAAGAAGACCATAACTGATGTGATAGAGTTGAAAAGCACACTACAAGAATTCCGCAACGCAATCACAATATTAATAGCAGGGTAGACCAAGCAGTGAAAAGCATCTCAGAGCTTGAAGACTGTCCTTCTGAAATAAGACAGGCAGACAAGAATAGAGAAACAAGACTAAAAAGGAATGAACAAAACCTCCAAGAAATATGAGATTATGTAAAGAGATCAAATCTATGACTGACTGATGTATCTGAAAGATGGGTAGACTGGAAACAATTTGGAATACATACTTTAGTATATCATCCATGAGAACTTCCCCAAACTAGCAAGACAGGCCAACTTTCAAATTTGGGAAATGCAGAAAACCCCAGTAAGATACTCCCTGAGAAGATCATCCCCAAGACACATGATCATCAGATTCTCCCAGGTTGATATGAACAAAAAATATTAAGGACAGCTAGAGAGAAAGGCAGACCTCTTGACAGAAACCCTACAAGCCAGAAGAGATTGGGGACCAATATTCAACATCCTTAAAGAAAGAATTTCCCACCCAGAATTTTATATCCTGACAAACTAAGCTTTATAAGCAAAGGAGAAATAAAACCCTTTTCAGATAAGCAAATGATGAGGAAATTCATTACAACTAGACCTACCTTACAGAAACTCCTGAAGGAAGCACCAAATGTGAAAGGGAAAGATTATTACCACTCCAAAAACACACAGAAGTACACAGACCAGTGACACTATACAGCAACCACATAAACAAGTCTGCAAAATAATCCGCTAACATCATGATGACAGTACCAAATGCATGGATAGCAATATTAATCTGAAATGTAAATTGACTAAATCGCCCAGTTAAAGACACAGAGTGGTAAACTGGATAAAGAACAAAGACCAATTGGTATGCTGTTTCGAGACCCATCTCACATGCAATGACACACATAGGCTCAAAATAACGTGCTGGAGGAAAATTTACCAAGCAAACAAAAAAAAAAAAAAAAACAAAAAAAGCAGGAGCTGCAATCCAGTTTCTGACAAAACAGATTTTAAACCAATAAAGATTAAAAAAAGACATAAAAAAGGGCATTAAATAATGGTAAAGGGTTCAATTCAACAAGCAGAGCTAATTTTCTTAAATATGTATGCACCCAACACAGGAGCACCCAGATTCTTAAAGCAAGTTCTTAGAGACTTTTAAAGAGACATAAACTGCTACAAAATAATAGTGGGAAACATTAACATCCCACTGACAATATTAGACAGATCATCAAGAGGAAAAATTAACAAAGATATTCGAAACCTGAACTCAGCACTCGATCAAATGGACCTGATAGAGATCTACAGTACTCTGCACCTAAAACCAATAAAATATACATTGTTCTCATTGCCACATGGCACTTACGCTAAAATTGATAACATAATCGGAAGTAAAACACTTTTCAGCAAATGTGAAAGAACTGAAATCATAACAAACAGTCCCTCAGACCATAGCACAATCAAATTAAAACTCAAGACTAAGAAATCAACTCAAAACCATGCAATTACATGGAAATTGAACATCCTGCTTCTGAATTTTTGGGTAAATAGTGAAATTAAGGCAGAAATAAAGAAGTTTTCTGAAACTAGTGAGAACAAAGAGAAAATGAACCAGAATTTCTGGGACCCAGCAAAGGAAGTGTTAGGAAGGAAATTTATAGAACTAAATGCCCACATTAAAAATTTAAAAAGATCTCAAATTAAAAACCTAGCATCACAACTAAAAAAACTAGAGAATCAAGAGCAAACAAACAAATCCCAAAGCTGGCGGAAAACAAGAAATAACTGAAATCAGAGCTGAACTGAAGGAGATAGAGACACAAAAAACATTCAAAAGATCAACAAATCCAGGAGCTGTTTTTTTTTGAAAACATTAATAAAATAGATAAACTACTAGCTAGACTAATGAAGAAAAGAGAAAAGATTTTAAAAAACACAATCAGAAATGAGAAGGAGGATGTTACCACTGAACCTACAGAAATAAAAACAACCATCAGAGAATATTATAAATGCCTCTATGCATATAAACTAGAAAATCTAGAAGAAATGTATACATTCCTGGACATATGCACCCTTCCAAGACTTAAACCGGAAGAAGTTGAATCCCTGAAAAGATCAATAATGAGTTCTGAAATTGAGGCAGTAATAAACAGCGTACCAACCACAAAAAGCCCCAGGACCACAGAGATTCACAGCTGAATTATACCAGATGTACAAATAAGAGCTGGTACCATTCCTACTGTAACTATTCCAAAAAATTGAAAAGGAGGGACTCCTCCTTAAATCATTCTATGAGGCCAGCATCATCTTGATAACAAAACCTGGCAGAGATACAACAAAAAAAGAAAAGTTCAGGCCAATACCTTTGATGAACATTGATGCAAAAATACTTAACAAACTACTGGCAAACCAAGTCTAGCAGCACTTTCAAAAGCTTATCTACCATGACCAAGTAGGTTTCATCCCTGAGATGCAAGGTTGATTCATTCAACAACACATAAACAGAACTAAAGACAAAAACCACATGATTATCTCAATAGATGCAGAAAAGCCTTTTGATAATATTCAACATCCCTTCATATTAAAAACTATCAATAAACTAGGTATTGAAGGAACATACCTCAAAATAATAGAGTCATATATGACAATCCCACAGGCAACATCATAGTGAATAGGCAAAAGCTCGAAACATTCCTCTTGAAAACCAGTACAAGACAAGGATGTCCTCTTTCACCACTACTACTCAAGACAGTATTGGATGTTCTGGCCAGGACAATCAGGCAAGAGGCAGAAATAATGGGAATTCAAATAGGAAGAGACAAAATCAAACTATCCCTCTTTGCACATGACATGATCCTGTATCCAGAAAACTCCATTGTCTCAGCCCAAACATACTTAAGCTGCGATATGGTTTGGCTGTGTCCCCATCCAAACCTCATTTTGAACTGTAGCTCCCATAATCCCCACATGTCATGGGAGGGACCCAGTAGGAGGTATTTGAATCATGGGGGGCAGTTACGCCCATGCTGCTGTTCTTGTGATAGTGAGTTCTCACAAAATCTGATGGTTTTATAAGCGGCCTTCCCCCTTTTGCTCGGCACTTCTCCTTCCTGATATCATATGAAGAAGGACATATTTGTTTCCCCTTCTGCCATGATTGTAAGTTTCCTGAGGCCTCCACAGCCATGTGGAATTGTGAGTCAATTAAACTTCTTTCCTTTATAAATTCCCCAGTCTCTGGCAGTCCTTTATAGCAGTGTGAGAATGGACTAATACAAGCTGATAAGCAATTTCAGAAAATTATCAGGATGCAAAATCAATGTGCAAAACTTGCTAACATTTCTATACACCAAAAGCATCCAAGCCAAAAGGCAAATCATGAATAAATTCCCATTCACAATTGCCACAAAATGAATAAAACACCTAGGAACACAGTTAACTAGGGAGGTGAAAGATCACTACAAGGATAACTGCAGACCACTGCTCAAAGAAACAGAGATGATACAAACAAATGGAAAAACATTCCATGCTCATGAATAGGAAAAATTAAATGGCTATACTGCAAAAAGCAATGTATAGATTCAATGTTATTCCCATTAGCTACCATTGACTTTTTTCACAGAACTAGAAAAAAGTATTTTAAAATTCATATTGAACCAAAGAAGAGCCTGAAGAGCTAAGTCAATCCTAAGCTAAAAGAACAAAGCTGGAGGCATCACACTATCTGACTTCAAACTATACTATAGGGCTATAGTAACCAAAACAGCATGGTAATATTTAAGTAAGTAAGTAAATAAATAAATAAATAAAATACAGGTATATAGACAAATGGAACAGAATAGAGAACCCAGAAATCAGACTGCACACCTAGAACTATTTGATCTTCAAAAACTTAACCAAAAGAGCAATGAGGCAAGAACATCCAATCTAATAAGTGGTGCTGGGCTAACCAGCTAAACATATGCAAAAGACTGAATCTAGAACCCTTCCTTATACCATACACCAAAATTAAATCAAGATGAATTAAAAACTTAAAGGCAAAACCCAAAACTATAAAAATCCTGGAAAACAACCTAGGTAATACTATTTAGGACATAAGCACAGTCAAATATTTCATGATGAAGATACCAAAAACAATTGCAACGAAAGCAAACATTGACAAATGGAATCTAATTAAACTAAAGAGCTTCCTTCCATACACCAAAAGAAACTATCAACAGAGTAAACACAACCTACAGAATGGGAGAACATTTTTGCAAACTATACATCTGACAAAAGTCTAATATACAGCATCTATAAGGAACTTAAACAAATATACAAGAAAAAAACAACCCCATAAAAATGTGGGCGAACACCATGAACAAACACTTTTGAAAAGAAGATATACATGTGTCCAATGAGCATAAGCAAAAAAAGCTCAACTCACTGATCATTAGAGAAATGTAAATTACAACCAAATGAAGCACCATTTAACAACAGTCAGAATTGCTATTATTAAAACGTAAAAAAACAGCAGACGCTGATGCGATTGTGCAGAAAATGGAATGCTTATACATTGTTGGTGGAAGTGTAAATTAGTTCAGCCATTATGGAAGAAAGTGTGGTGATTCCTCAAAGAACTAAAGGAAAAAATACCATTTGGACCAGCAATTCCATTACTGGGTATATACCCAAAGGAATATGAATCATTTTGTTATAAAGAAACATGCATTTGTATGTTCATTCCAGCAATATTCACAATAGAAAAGACATGCAATTGACCTAAATGTCCATCAAGATAAACTGGAGAAAGAAAATGTGGTATGTATACATGATGGTATTCTATGCAGCTATTAAAAAAAAATGAGATTATGTCCTTTGCAGGGACATGGATGGAGCTGGAGGCCATTATCCTTAGCAAATGAACACAGGAACAGAAAACCAAACATATGTTCTCACTTATAAGTGGGAGATAAATGATGAGAACATATGGACACATAGAGGGGAACAACATATAGTAGAACCTTCTGGAGGGTGGATGGGGGAGAAGGTAGAGGATCAGGAAAAACAATTAATGGGTAATAGGCTTAGTAACCTAGTGATGAAATAATCCATACGAAAACACCCATGACACAAGTTTACCTACGTAACAAACTTTAACTGTAACCCTTAACTTAAAATAAAAGTTAAAAAATATTACAAAGGAATTAAAAGAATTTAATATATAGTTTCATAGGAACTATACAGGATGTACCATTCTTCTTAATAGCTAAATCATGCAAATAGTCAATAACAAAGATTAGAAATGTGTAAAATGTTATGTATGTATAACATTTTATAATATAAATATATAATATAAAATATGAAAAAATAAAAAAGAAATTTATAAAATGAAATATATTACCTGTAGCACTCAAAAAGTCCTAGAAAATGGTGAATCAGTCTTAATATCATAAGTGCTGGGTGAGTCGTGAGTTGTGTCTTGATAGTATGCAGAAATAAGCTGCCTAAAAGTTGTCTAAGACTGTTCTGAATTTCTAAATTTGTATCTTGAATAACGCTTGAGTAATATGTAATATTATACTCATTTTCCAGAAGAGAAATGTTATACTTACCTTCTTTTGATTTTCTAATTCCAAAACATATTTGCTATAATAAGCAATAAGTCTCTTCCCGAGAGGCTCAGGAAGAGCAAATAATATGTGTTCAGCCTCTGTTATATTGTGTGGAAAAACCTTTGTTTGATTGTCAGAAGTGAGGGAATGCATAAACAAAAGGATCACGACATTGTTTTCATTAACAATAGTGGACTTAATTAATAAAGGTTTATATTCACTTTTCTGAAATCTCCTTGCATAGTTACAATTATATCTTATTTTTATTAATAGGTATTCTTAAGTCTTTATGCATTAGCTGCCCTCTTGAAACATAAATATTTATGAAATTACTATATTATGCCTTTGTTTCAAGCAGTTAGACTCGTGTAAATATTTTATCTCCCTCTGTCCCTCTTCCCATATCCAATTGCATCAGGAAATCCTATTAGCACTAGCTTTAAACTGTGTTCCAATGGTTGTAAATAAACAACCACCCAAACTAAAATTAAATAAATTGATAGATAAATTTATTTAAAAATTCAAAGTTAAAAACTGACTTTGCTTAATTGTCATTCAAGGAAACACACTAAGAAATTCACTAAATGGATCACTAAAGAGAAACAGCCAAGGATTTTATGTGCAGAAAGATGAAATTCATGGTAGATTAATTAAGGGTTGAGAAGTTGTAATCCAGACGGTTTAGAATAAGTGCCAGAGCCTGTGCATAGTTGACTCAAACAAGTCCTATTGTTCATTGGCCAGGGAAGACTATTCATTTAGTTCCATTGATGATCTTGTGTATGCACTTACTAAAAATTCTTAGTCGTTATTCAGTATCATATGGTAAATTGCTCAAAGTCCATGGTTTGTTAACAACTTCAACAGATTAAAATAACATTCAATTTTGTTACTTTCCAGGCAAGTACTGCTGTATGTGGAAATTATTTCTATTAAACATATGATTGCTTCTCACTAACTACACTGGTGCTATCTTTTGTAAAACACCATTCTTTCTCATCTAGATAAATACAATAGCTTCCTAACTGACCTTCCAGCTTTCATCCTTGTTCTCTTACAAAAGTGATCATTATGAGACCTCAGTCAAATTATGCAATCTCTCTGTTTGAAGATTGAGCTTTAATTCCTCATTTGATTCAGAGTAAAAGCTAAATTTCTTATAATGGCTTAGAGTGGTCAAAATGGTCTTACCTATCACCCCATACATCTTCCCATTATCCTCCATAACTTACTTGTCCCAAGTTACCCTGCATACCTCACTTGTGTCTGCAATACTTCTATTCTAAGGCCTTCAGACTAGCTGTTCCCATAGTTGCACTCATTTCCTGATATTTATTTGGTTCACTTCTTCACCTCATTCAAGTCCTCAATCAGGAATCATCTTTTCTGAAAGAGCTAACTTGATAACCCAATTTCAATTTGCAAATCGACCATTTTGTACCCAATTTCCATTTTAGAAATTTGTAGAAATCGCCTTCTAACATATATACAATTTACTTATTCAGATGTCTATATACTCATTACACATTAAACATTTCCTACCTCTCTATAATAGAATTTAAACTGCACAAAAGTATAGACATAAGTTTTCTGTTTTTCACAACTAAATCTCAAGCACATATTAAGTGATTAATAAATGTCTAAGCAACCACTGAAAATTGAGCAAAATAGCATATATTACGTCATAATTTATATCCCCAAATATAAATAGTATAAAATTATTCTCTACTAATAAATCAATAAACATGAACACACATATCAAAACACCAAGGGAAACATCCTCAGTAGTAAATTGATTGAATAAAACAAATATTATTTAAATGAACAAGAAAAGAACCTGTAATATAAACTTAATATTTATATTAACTTATTTACCCTTAGAGATACTTTTGTCCTGTTTTTATATTTAGTTTTGAAAACTGTCACTATTTATTCTATGGGGAGAAGGTTTTAGCTATACATTGATTTCCCCCTAGATATTCTGCTATTTTTGATGTGCTTTTACCTTGAACCACATCACCTATCAGATGTTAAACCTGTTTTTTGTCCAAATATTTTTAAATATTTCAGCTATTAATTTTTAGAAGTAGTGTATTATGGTTAAATAATGTAATCTCTACTATTTCTGTGTTTGATAAATATTAAGTTTTTGTGGCTTGGTGAATACTTACTTTTTGAAATAAGAATTGTATGAGCACTTGGGATGAAATAGTGATTTAATTATACTGAAATTGTAAAGTAAATTTGTAAAGGGAATAATACATTTTAAGTACAATTTTATTAATTATTCCTATTCACTACATCTTATTTGGTATGGTTGAAAAAACATGCTATTTTTGTAATCGAGATGGCAATTTTAAAATTAAGTATTATAACTTCATATTCATATGTTAGATTGATAATTATTATTATTAACCAAATATGAAAAAACATGTTGCTAATAACAAAAGGTCAACTTTAAAATGCATTCTAAGAACTGTTTCTGATTTATGGAAATATGAATAAAGAGTATTAAACTTAGCCATTATAACCTGGTAGCTTTATGCGCACCACACAAGAAATATCATAATATATTCACACTTCATTTTTATTTGTACAAATTGATTTAATACACTGAATTTAAGGTTCTTATACTTTAGATAAATATAAGAAAATGCTTTCTTTAATTACCTCATATTCCTATATTACTCCCAAGCTGTAGTAAATTTAAAAACTTAAAGCATGCAAATAATATATATATTTAATAAGAGAGGGTATGAGCTAAGTCCCTAGAAATAAAGCTCGAGGCATAATTCTTCAACACTAATTGCCATTATGAATATAAAATTACACATTAAATAGTATTAGTAAATACAAATGGACTTATATTACATTATATACATTATCTGCAATATAAACAACAGTTACGTCTCATCTCTTCTTAAAATGAAATTATCACCATATATTACAGTCATTTGCAATGGCACCCTTATAAATATTGTTAGTATAATTATATTTTACTCGAAATTAGCCCACAGCCTGATTAAGTCAATATTGCTTATATCTTTCTAAAGCTAGTAATGCATTATTCCCTCCTCCAAGGTGTACAGTGAAGTGTATTTCTACTTTATAAGCTCTGTTACCTTCACGGAATAGTCATAGGGAGTGAATATTATCTACCCAGTAGATGAAAACATTTATTGCTAGAAACACCTTCATTTACTTAACCAAATTAAATGTATCATATCGTATTTATGGTTCAACACTAAGGGGTCAGAATGGGAAAGATCAATTAAATGATTATCTACCAATTAAAGTTCAATGATATTATTATTATTATTGTTATTATAAAGGCACATTTACTGAGAACTTACCAGGCATTTTGTAAACCACTTTATGTGCAATATTTTGTAGCTGATTAGTGGAATTTGAATTATATTCTGTCTGAAACTTGGCCTATGTGGCTTTAAGATATTACTTTCCTTTTCTACAGGACACCAAATTGACAAGGAGTTTGCTTTTCAAGAGAAGACTACCATTTATAATTTGAATGGGCATTAAATGTAAGCAGAGTGTGTTAAGGAGAAAATCAATTAAAAAGGATTACATTTTACATGAGGCAAAAATCACATATAATATAAGTTGCCATTGAATATGTGATAAGAAAAATGCCATATTAATAAAAAATTCCTATCCATCCAGCTTTTCTTCAGTTTTCAACTAAAGTGCTGTATGTATGTAAATGATTGTGTGTGTGTTTGAGAAAAAGGTGATTTTGTGTTAGATGGTCATATTAAATGGGAGAAAAAATTAAACAATAAATTCACACTACCATATACAGCATGTTTTATCCAGAAATAAATATCCCCAGAGCTAAGACTGGCTGAGGAAAGTATTGATTTGTGCTTTATTTCACATCTACTCTCACTCAACTTTCATTACAATCTCATACAAACCTTCATTAAAAGGAATTACATGCATACTCTTATGCCATAGTATGCTTGGCCATTTTCTCCTCCATTTCCCTTCATCATTTCAGAATAGCATTTGCATCAACTAAAAACATGTTGAGAAATAGTATCAGGGTTTAATCTGTTAACTTTTAGCTTTCAAACGTATGTGATACCTCTAATAGTGTATTACTCACACTCCTAAGTGTACAGAGACTTAATTCATTTAGAAGAAATCAATCTGCGATTTGGGAAAATGGGAAAATAAAGGAGAGGATTAGTACATCAATGATAGGATCTGAAGGGAAATTACACCAAGGGACAAGGTAATTAGTATTGTTATTTTGCTAAAGTGTCTCAGTGCTAGAATTCCACCAGTGGGGAAGGAAAATGAATTTACTGAGTTCTCATGGGGGAATTTTTGAAATAATAGATAGATTGGAATATCTACTTATAAGCAATAATATCAGAAAAAGTAACAGGTGGAGAAAACTAGAATAAAAACCTAGTTGGTTAATTTCAAGATTTCTAAAAACTTCCCAGATAATCATCTATTTAGTTATTAAAACATATGGAAACAAATTTTTTTTTGAGACATTACACAAGAGCTGTGTCATATTCAACCAAGTCACTAAGTTCAGCCAAAATTCAGGAGGATGCAAGTAACCTCCATCTGTCACTGAAGGGATTAGGAACTGTTCTATAAAGTATCCTTAGCATGTCTCCTTGTTGTTATGAAGTGTAGGTGCTTCGGTTCACAGCCCCTGGTGAACACTGCATTCCAGACTTTCTAACCACCATCCCACATCCTGGGCATTTCAGGCCAGTGCAACCACTACTAAGATATTGCAATTAAAATGACATTTCCCTCCTTTCCTGACCATTTGGAAATGGGCTGTTTAGATGAGTACTTTGTTCTGGAAAGGGCCTGTATTCATTCGTCTTCACTGAAAGTGAGACAATAAAGGGGACACTGTTATCTGAATAAGTCACCTTTCCAACATCCTTTATTTATAAAAAGATAGACCAAAAATGCCCAAAGAAAGAAAACACAGCCACCTGTCCGTTGTACTCTGCAGAGTAAAGTGATATATACTGTTTATAATAAACCACTCTCTCTGACTCATACCTGTGCTTATTTATCTACTCACACATTTCTTTGCAAAGAAATATGCAAAATATGAATCATATTTCACGAAACTGTTACACATTATCTTACGTAAATAGATCACACTATTCAGATTTGTTTGTACTTTGCCTTATCTCCCTAAAATTTGTTAGATATTTTTAGGTTAATAAACATAAACTACCTTGTACTTTTTTAATGGTTGCCTAGCATTTAATTGTGTGGCTATTACATGGTTTATGTAATCATTCCTCTTCCAAATAATACATAAGCTTTTTGCACAGATTTGCTGTTATTAAAAAATGATGCAACTATACTTGTACATATATCTTGAGCTGTATTCTAAGTAAAATAAATATTCATAAGGGGAGTTACTGAACATTAGGAAATATACATTAAATATTTTGAATGGTACTAGTAAGTTACATTTTTAAAGTTTTGATCTATTTATACTCACCTTAGCAATGAAATATATGTCTAATCCTGCCTGTAATGTCTTCTCAGAAATGAATTCTAATTATGGGTTAGAATTTTGCTGATATTTCACCTTAAAAATTTTTCTGTACACATTAATCTATATTTTTAATGTTTAAGATGGTTAAGATTAATTCCAAATATGTATTGACCACCACTTGTCTATCTTCTTTGATAAATTGCCTCCTGTTTACTTTTAGCTTGATCCTGCTATAGTATATAAGACATTGTTATTAGATATTTATTTGCTCCTGAATAAAGACAATAATTCAAGAATGAATAGATTGATTTGGACACTCAGGGAGACAGTGACTGTAACTCTAAGCCAACAATCTACATCAATTATTAGGTCTCTCACTGTCTTGTGGTATACTCAACCTCCAACCAAATGTTAGCAACTGTGCAAAGAACAAGAATCAGCCTGGAGAATTAAGCAGGGTTCAGAACAAACAGTACCATTGTAAGGTATACTAAATCATAGTAGATATTTTGGCTATATTATGTGAACAATTAAAATATACTAAGAAATAATATGTCATAAATAGGTGATCAATTTCAAAGATTCTTATATGTTTAAAAATGGAGAATGATTTGCATATGTTAGTATAGAAAATACACTGGCCAAAATGAAAATTTTGATATGTTCAAACAAATTAGGCACATGGCCTGGAGTATGCTGGATGCAATGGAGGCTGACAGAATTGGACTGAGTGTGGAATGACTTTCAGAAAATTGATCAGAGGATTTCGACTGAATGTGGGGTGTTAGAGAAATAATTAAGAATGATATGAGATTTTATGATTACATAAAGGTGTCATTTACTGAACAGGAAAAATATACAGAAGAGAATATGACACACGTTAAATGAGCTTACATTTGGCTTATACTGATGTGAGGTATGTTTGCACATTACTTTCTTATTCTTTGGGAAAAATTTAAAATACATCAATACAGAATGTTTCTTATCTTTACAGAATTATTGATGGTGGATCAATTTCTAATAACAAGACATTAGACAATCTCATTTGTTTATTTAGGTATAGTTACAAACTAGATTAGAAGGCTAAAATTGAGTTTAAAAATGGTAGGTATTTTTCATTAAACATACGATATTATCTGTTTTATAAAGTCACTGTCCAACTGACTTTCTTAGATGTTTGAAAAAAGAGGACACAATAGTGAAAGCCTACAGAATTCCAAGTAAATTATTATCTTTACAAAAGCAATCAAAAGTTTGATATTTTTTAATGAAGTTTTTCTTCCTTGCATTTTTTTTACAATTCAAATGACTATACTTACTTTGTTAAATCAACTATCTTTCAACAAGGTGTTATGAATATCATCAAAGTGATTTTCTTCTATAATTTTATTACATACACAAAGCTTACATTATCATTTAGTCACTAACCAATGTTGTAACAGAGAAGGCGACACATAACATGTCTTAATAACTAAAAAAAATGGTAAGTCTTCTTGAAATATTTCAAAGACAAAGAAGGAAGGAAGGATAAAAAGGAAGAAGAGAAAGAAAGAGATAGAGTGAGAGAGCAAAGACAATTGTTCTTTGATATTTCCTTAACAGAACTGTGCTTCATTCTAACTTCTGTTGAACATAAGCTTTACATCCCAGGGTGCAGTTAAATATTTCACAAAGAGGAATATAAGAAAGATCAAGAAGGTTCTTTCTGAAATTAAAATGAAATAGATCAATGAGAAGTGTTTCTTCTTGCAAATCCCTTGCTTTATAGTTCATCATTTCATTTTGCTGTAAAATTACAGTAGCCTTTGAGAATTTGATGCCATTTATGCTTAGTCTCTCATTTACCCTTGATTTTTTAAATACCATTAATCCTATTTTCCACTGCTTCTACCCTGCACATTTTAATATTTTTACTCTTAAATAAGATTTTCTTTAAATGAAATTATAGATGTGTAATTTTTGTTTGCCAATATCTTTCAGTTTTCTTTTCTTTCATATGTGCTGATAAGCTTTGGTTCATAGTTATTTAAATAATGAGTTCTTTAACGTTTGTTCAAATCACCTATGGAGGCATTAAAGAACCACTTTACTAATAATTATTTATGTTGTTTTTCTACCGAATCATTTTCGGAACAATCTTGGACTGAAGGGATTCAATGAGATCATGATGGGTTTCATTCTTAATACATTGTAACATTACTATATTAACCTTTTAGTTTATACCTTTTTAATAGGTTGTGACCTCACTGGTGTAACGTGACAAACAGAGCTGCCCAAAAATGACCATGGGAATATATCTGTCTTGCCTGGACAATAAACCAGCTGGCACTGGGAGCACTTCAGTCCTCCCAGGAAAAAAAAAAAAAAAGACTGCCCCCAAATTCAATTGCTCACATGGTTGTGGCTTCTTCTCCTCGTTGTGAGGTATGGCACCATAATAACGTCTCCCAGCCTCCAGGGTCCACAGAAGTAGGGCAGCTGTCATCTAAATCAAGACCTAAGTTACCTCATTAGTAAATTTGTCCATACTGACAAAGTTTGTCTTCTTTTGAACTATGAAAATGAAAAGGAACAGGAGACTGTGTTCCCTTTTCTGGAAGGTAAACCCATGCTGTTTGTCCAGTAGAGTACTTTGGCCCTAGCTTATGGCTTTCTGATTATGAGAGCCTAAGACCCAAGTCTTCACTTTTTTGCTGATTCCTGACTTGTAGTGTTCTTCAATAAAGACTTTTTTTCTTAATGTATAATGTGAAATTGGTCAAGAACCCTGTATTAGTTCATTTTCACACTGCTGATAAAGATATACCTGAGGCTGGGCTATTTACAAAAGAAAGAGGTTTAATTGGACTTACAGTTCCACGTGGCTGGGGAAGGTCTCACAATCATGGCAGGGGGTGAAAGGCACTTCTTATATGGCAGCAGCAAGAAAGAATGAGCATGACACAAAAGTGGAAACCCCCGATAAACCCATCAGTTCTCGTGAGACTTATTCACTATCAAGAGAATAGCATGAGAAAGACCAACCCCCTTTATTCAATTGCCTCCCACTGGGTCCCTCGCACAACATGTGGGAATTCTGGGAGATACAATTCAAGTTGATATTTGGGTGGGATCACTGCCAAACCATATCATTCCACCCCCAGCCCCTCCCAAATCTCATGTCCTCACATTTCAAAACCAATTATGCCTTCCCAACAATGCCCCAAAGTCTTAAGTCATTTCAGCATTAACTCAAAAGTCCACAGTTTAATGTCTCATCTGAGACAAAGCAAGTCCCTTTCACCTACGAGCCTGTAAAATCAACAGGAAGTTAGTTACTTCCTAGATACAATGGGGGTACAGGCATTGGGAAAATTCAGCCATTCCAAATAGCCAAAATGAAGGGGCTATAGGCCCCATGCAAGTCCAAAACCCAGCAGGGCAGTCAAATCTTAAAGTTCCAAAATGATCTTTTTTGAGTCCATGTCTCTCATCCTAGTCACACTGATGCAAGAGGTGGGTTCCCATGGTCTTGGGCAACTCCACCCCTATGGCTTTGCAGGGTACAGCCTCCCTCCCAGTTGATTTCACGGGCTGTCATTGAGTGTCTGTGGCTTTTCCAGGCACATGTTGAAAGCTGTCAGTGGATCTACCATTCTTGGATCTGGAGGACGGTGGCCCTCTTCTCACAGCTCTACTAGGCAGTGCCCCAGTAGGGACTCTGTGTGGGGGCTCCAACCCCGCATTTCCCTTCCACACTGCCCTAGCAGAGGTTCTCCATAAGGACCCCAGCCCTACAGCAAACTTCTGCCTGGGCATCTGGGTGTTTCCATATATCTTCTGAAATCTAGGTGGAGATTCCTAAACCTCAATTCTTGACTTCTGTGCACCCATAGGCTCAACACAATGTGGAAGCTTCCAAGGCTGGGGCTTGCACCCTCTGAAGCCATGGCCTGAGCTGTAACTTGGTCCCTTTTAATCATGGCTGGAGTGGGTGGGATGCAGGACACCAAATCCCTAGGCTGCACACAGCTCTGGAATCCTGGGCCCAGCCCACAAAACCACTTTTTTCACCTGGGCCTCTGGGCCTGTATGAGAAGGGCTGCTTGGAAGACCTCTGATATACCCTGGAGACATTTTCTACATTGTATTGGGAATTAACATTTGACTCCTCATTACTTATGAAAATTTCTGCAGCCCACTTAAATTTCATATTGTCAAGCTGCAAATTTTCCAAACTTTTATCCTCTGCTTCCCTTATAAAATTGAATGCTTTCAACAGCATCCAAGTCACATGTTGAATGCTTTGCTGCTTAGAAATTTCTTCCACCAGATACCCTAAATAATCTCTCTCAAGGTCAAAGTTCCACAAATCTCTAGGGTAGGGGAAAATGCCACCAGTCTCTTTGCTAAAATATAACAAGAATCACCTCTGTTCCAGTTACCAACCAGCTCCTCATTTCCATCTGAGACCACCTCAGCCTGGACTTTATTGTCCATACTGCTATCAGCATTTTGGGCAAAGTCATTCAACAAGTCTCTAGGAAGTTCCAAACTTTCCTACATTTTCCTGTCTTTTTTGGAGCTCTCCAAACTGTTCCAACCTCTGTCTGTTACCCAGTTCCAAAGCTGCTTCCACATTTTTGGGTATCTTTTCAGTAATGTCCCACTCTACTGGAATCAATTTATGGTATTAGTCCGTTTTCACACCGCTGATAAAGACATACCAGAGACTGAGCGATTTACAAAAGAAAGAGGTTTAATTGAACTTACAGTTCCTCATGAAGAATGAGGAGGAAGCAAAAGTGGAAACCCCTGATAAACCCATGAGATCTCATGAGACTTACTCACTGTCGCAAGAATAGTGTGAGACAGACCAGTACCCATGATTCATTGACCTCCCATTGGGTCCCTCCTACAACACGTAGGAATTCTGGGAGATACAATTCAAGTGGAAATTTGGGTGAGTACACCACCAAACCACATCAAACCCCCATTGCCTATTGGTGGCAATTGCAAAGAGACCTATCTTGTGGGATCCTTGCTCAGCCTAATTTCAATGTCACTTTTTAAAAAATTAAAATAAATAAATATCAAGTGTATTTGTTTCTTGCTCTGCTTATTGTAATCCTCTGGCAAAATTCCAATTCTAGTTAGATCCTTAGGGTTGTCTCTCACTACAGGGTCTAACTGGTGAAAAACACAACCAGAATAACTAGCGTAACTTTAATGATAATTTATCTCAAGTGAGTCCTTAATTATATTTTTAAACTATTACCTCACCTTGAAACATGATAACTGTGTCTTCATATTCAGGTCCAACTAATTCCCTTTCCTTTTATTTCACTGAGTTAACTGCAGTGTCAGAAGAGAACTTTCACAGCTTCCCACCATCACATCCATTAAATGAGCTGCATCACTGTCCATAAACTGTGTCTTTCCTCCTCTTAGTAGGGATACATAGCATGTGCCCATCTAGGGCTCACCATCCTACATATAGCTTACAACTTCTTTTATTGATTTCATTCTTTCTTTGGTTTTAAGTGTTTTTTCCAGGCTGAATGCTCCCTTTTGTTTCTATCTGAGAACCTTGCACTGAACATCTTAGTGTTCTCCCAAGGATATATAACCAGTATTTCAAACCATGAATGGTATTGCCTAGGTTTTCTTCTAGGGTTTTTATGGTTTTACGTCTTACGTTTAAGTCTTTAATTCATCTTGAATTAATTTTGTATAAGGTGTAAGGAAGGGGTCCAGTTTCAGTTTTCTGCATATGGCTAGCCAGTTTTCCCAATACCATTTGTTAAATAGGGAATCCTTTCCCCATTACTTCTTTTTATCAGGTTTGTCAAAGATCAGATGGTGTACATGTGTGGCATTTTTTCTGAGGCATCTGTTCCATTGTTCTATGTATCTGTTTTGGTATCAGTACCATGCTGTTTTGGTTACTGTAGCCTTGTAGTATAGTTTGAAGTCAGGAAGCATGATGCCTCCAGCTTTTTTCTTTTTGCTTAGGATTGTCTTGGCTATATGGGATCTTTTTTGGTTCCATATGAAATTTAAAGTAGTTTTTTTTCTAATTCTGTGAAGAAAGTCAATGGTAGCTTGATGGGAATAGGATTGAATCTATAAATTACTTTTGGCAGTATGGCCTTTTTCATGATATTGATTCTTCCTATCCATGAGCATGGAATGTTTTTCCATTTGTTTGTGTCCTCTCTTATTTCCTTGAATAGTGGTTTGTAGTTCTCCTTGAAGATGTCCTTCACATCTCTTGTAAGTTGTATTCCTAGGTATTTGATTCTCTTTGTAGCAATTGTCAATGGGAGTTGACTCATAATTTGGCTCTCGGTTCATCTATTATTGGTATGTAGGAATGCTTGTGATTTTTGCACATTAATTTTGTATCCTGAGACTTTGCTGAAGTTGCTTGTCAGCTTAAGACGATTTTGGGCTGAGACTGCAGGATTTTATAAATATATAATCATGTCATCTGCAAACAGACAATTTGACTTCCTCTCTTCCTATTTGAATACCCTTTATTTTTTTCTCTTGCCTGATCGCCCTGGCAAGAAATTCAAATACTATGTTGAATAGCAATGGTGAAAAAGGGCATCCTTGTCTTGTGCTGGTTTTCAAAGGGAATGCTTCCAGCTTTTTCACATTCAGTATGATATTGGCTGTGGGTTTGTCATAAATAGCTCTTATTATTTTGAGATATGTTCCATCAATACCTAGTTTATTGAGAATTTTCAACATGAAGAGATGTTGAACTTTATCGAAGGCCTTTTCTGCATCTATTGATATCTGCCTTTGTTGTGTCCTTTGCTTGGAACGTTCTTCATTAAATACCCACATGGACCTCTCCTCATTATTTTAAGGCCTCTCTCAAGTGTCATATTCTTAATGAGGTGCTTGACCTCTCTATTGAAAATTACACCCTCCAGGCTTTCTATTTCTACATTTCTTCCTTTCAATTTCTCTATAGCACTTACCATCATACAGGATAATATACAGTTCCTTTATCTCTCTTTTTTTGTCTCCATTTAGTTTACTCTCTAGTCTGTAATTATTTATCTACCTATCCTTAGTTATTTTCTTAGAACACTTCCTGGTACACAAGGAAGGTTCTCAATCATTTTTTGTTTATTTTAATGTTACTATTGGTTTAACAGGATAATTCAGCATTACTTTCAGTAGCTGATGCAAACATCAGCAAGCAGCAAAGCTATAAATTTTATAATTATCATGTATCATAATCATTTCACCTAGTTTTCACATTTTTAGGAATAGGATTACAACACATGAAAATATATTACTGGAAAATCTCTTTTTCAAAAAAACATGACTATCAGTAATAACATTGTACCTAAATAAAATAAAACGTTCAAGCACATACAAAACTTATTTATTGTTCAGATTTTTAGGCTAGTGGAAACCAAGATTTCATCAAACTACTATGAAAATATGGAAAATAAAATATATACTTGGTAACCAAACAATATATATATATTTAATATATATTTATTTACTTTATATTTAATTTATAGATCTATTTACTGATACCAATTTTGTGAGTAATGTCAAATTAAAATCCAGTTATTAAAAAAATCTCAACTAATTGATTAGATCACTCCTTCATTCAACCAGATTTTGTTGATTGCAACCATGCCATACTTTGCTAAACGCAACATTGACACAAAACTCAATAAAACATAGATACTTTTTTTGGGAATTTTAAAGTTGTCAGCTATTTGAGAGACATATATTAAGTTGGAGTTATCACCTGATGTAAGTAGACAGGAAGAAGCTTGGCAAGACAGTATTAAACTTGGTGAATTTGACACAGTCTAGGTTCAAAACTTCTGCCTTGGAAAGAGAATACATGCTTATCTCAGTGCCTTAGAGTTCATTGAATATGAGAATCAGGTTTGTATTAAATATGTCACTAGAGATGAATTATGTAGTATAGACCTCACATTTATTATTTGAAGTATATATGTCTGATGAATGGAAATTTGCAGTGACTTTAACAGCATAATATCTTCTAGAAAGCAAGTTATCTGATAGAATAACAACAAAAATCCTTAACTTGCTGTCTGGATAATTCTATTAACAACAATAGTAACAATAAAGAGATAATTGTCCATCTGTCACATTTACTATATATTGCCAAGAAATACAATGAACATAAAGAGAAAAAAAAATCAGTTATCTTTGATGCAAAGATACAAGGTTTCAACGTGAAAACAAGAATTTAGCTTCACACTGAATTTTATAACAAATAAATTATGTCACCAAAATGGTGTAAAAAAATCACGAATATTTTGTGTTTGGATCCTATTTGTGTATTGGATCAATAGGATTTTTTTTTCAGGCAGGTACTCTCTATATTGCCCAGGATGGTGCTGAATTCCTGGCCTCAGCCTACCAAGTACCAAGGATTACAGGAATAAGCCATGATGCCTGACAAATAATACTTATTGATCTCACAATTTCTGTAGGCCACAAATCTGGCTATAAGTTGAGTGGGTTCTCTGCTTACACAAGACTTTAATCAAAACCTCACAAGACCGTGATCAAAGTAATAGCTTAATTGTAAGTCTCCTCTGAGGCTTGCAGCCTTCTTCCAAGATCATTCTAGTTATGACAGAATGCAGTTATTGTGTCTGTAGGACTGAGTTCTTTGTTTTCTGCTATCTATCAGGCAGCCAGGAACAACTCCCAGCTTCAAGAGGCCACCTGCGATATTTTGCCACTTGTTCTCCATAGACAGATTATAGCATGCAAGTTTACTTCTTCAAAGACAGTTAGAGAGAAACTATTGGATTTCTTCTTCAGACTCTTGTATAACATAATAATGGGAGTTACCATGTACCATTATTTTCCATGTGCCATAACCCAATCAATGATCACAACCTTATCATATTCACATAATTTGCCTATATTCAGCAGAAGAGGATAATACAAAGCATGTACTCCAGGGGGATGGGATTCTGGAAGACAGTTTTAGAATGCAGACTAAGACAGTAGTCTCCTGATATTTGTTTCTCCATCATCATTTATAGCAAAATCAACTAATGTTCTTGTTGAAACATTAATGTCCTGATATATTAATATTCCTGTGTCTTCCCCTTAGAGTATTGATCAAGTTGGAATTTGTTGGGTCTCAGGACCCTGACATTTTAACAAGTTACCAACTTTAGGATTAGACATGACAGTTTAAAATATAACTTATTAATTTTAGTAAAATACTCTCAATCATGCCTATCAAAGTAAATGGAAATTTGGCAGATTTTAGATGAAGAGAAGCATAGCAGGGAAGAGTCATTAGAATTTAAGAATAATTTATGGAATGGAAAGAAGTATGCTTTCATATTTGTGACATGTTTGTATTTTGCTTTTCTGTAAAATGAAAATGACAGACTTCCTTTGAAATTTTATTTATTTTTATCAGAATTATTTATTGTCAGTAGTAGTAGCACTATTATCACTGTTGTTAATCAAAATAAAATGGCAGCCACACAACAGAAACCTGGAAAAGTATCGGCCCCATTGTTCAGGAACCTTATTCTAAAGCCATTCTAGAGATTTGTTGATATCATTTATAAATAAGCTCATTACTTTCTCTAAGGCAAGTGCTTGGCTAACCATATGAGGACTCCAATCATAGTAGAAGATTATTTAACTTATTTAAGAATGCAAATTAAATGTGTTTTTGGATGAAGTAAATGATGAATTTTGGATAACTACTGATTTACATGTGTTTATCATATAATTAAAAGTAACATGTTGTACTGTGTTTTACTATTTTTCTGTTACTTATTTTTTTCAGAAAGTAGAGATAATAATTTTTGTTTCCATATTCTTCCTCCCAATTACTGATTAAATAGATCAACAAGGGGAAAAGTGCAATTTAACCACACTTTTTCTCACATTTAATGTTTCCAACTTTGATTCTTCAGGAGACCAGAATCTTTATTAATAAGAGACAGTAATCAATTTTAAAATCTCCAAGAAGTTGTGTCAATTTCAAATGAAATTGAGTGCTATGTTGAACTGGCTTGGATCAATTGCTTTAATAATTAAGTATAATAAAATGCTTGACAATGTGCAATGGCTCATAGCTGTAAACCCAGCACTTTCGAGGCCGGGGAAGGTGGATGACCTGAGGTGAGACCTGAGGGACAGAATGAGACTCCGTCTCAAAAAAATATATATGTATATCTATATATAATTTATATATAATATGTATTTATAATTTATATATAATATGTATTTATAATTTATATATAATATATATTACATATTTATATATATTATATATTTATAAATTGTATAATATATAATATACAATTTAGATATATACACTATATTTATGTATGTACAATAAAATGGTTGAAAATTTAGTATATTTACGAGAGAGCTATTTTGTGTCAAATAATGTGGAAATGTTAAATGTGATCTACAATCTTTTTTACATCTTTTTCATAAGTTAAAGAAGTGTTTTGTTAAGCAGCAATAAACAGAAACAGCCTCTCCAGGTACAAGAATAGCTCAGAGACAGAAGCACATAATTGTACATATTATTATTTACTATAGTGTTTGGTTGCTCCATTCTTAGTTATACTAAAATTAATCATTTCGTTGTAGAGATGATTCTGAGATCTCTTTATTGCAAAGATAAGTTTTTCCCTTAGATGTTAGTAAGTAAGCTATGGGACTATTTTGGCACAATATGTATATCAGGGTCTAATCAGGGAAGTAGTTTGATAAAATAAATGATTTATTGTAGGAATTAGACAATTCATATTTTGGGAAGAACTGGGGATGTAAGGTCCAGACAAGGAAGGTAGAAGTTCAAAGAATATTCCCAAACCAGCCTACAGAAATTACTGGTGTATATGAAACATATCTGAAATAGGTTACATACCGCTTTTGCCAAAATTCAGAGAAAAGGCATTTGTTTCAAAGCACTTATAAGAGCAGTCATATTGAACTTATTTATATTAATTTTGAAATAATGCCTTTCTTTTTAATTGAACTTTATAATACATATGGATGGAGAACATATGTATTATATGTTATATATATGTATTAAATGTTATATATGTATTATATAACAATTTTTTCAAATAATATACCACTAAGTCTTAGTACAATACTAAGAACTTATACTGTTTGTTGAATAAATTAAAATACTAAATATTTTTAGACTTAGTTTTATAAAAATGTAAAGTGGGAAATAATAAAGTAACTTTTAACTTTCAGTATAAGAATTAAGTACAGTAAGAGGATTAAATTGCAATAGTATCTGGCTCATAATAAGTACTGAACATTTTTAAATTACTTAAGATCTAATGATTGCTTTTAAGACAGATATTTAATCAATGTGTATTTAATAAATACCATATCACAGAATTGTGCTAAACATTGAAAAAGGAAATCTTTAAAGACATCCAAAGCACATACTCTTACTACCATGCAGAGTTGTAAAAACAGCTAAGGTTAAACTTATAGAGACTGAATTTTAAATTCTCCCTCCTTGACTTACTAGGGGTTTGAACTTCTGTAAACTACTTATACTGTCTAAATTCCAGTGTCCTTTTATTTTATTTTACTTTTTTAATGGTGGTAATAATAATTATTTCCAGGGATTATTGTAAGGATTACAATATTATTGACTTAGTGTTTATAAAGCTTTTTGTCAAAGAAAGGCATTAAAAAACATTATTTTATATCCTTTTGAAGGAAAGATAAATTTTCAATTAAAATAGACAATGACATTCAATATATTTTATATTGTAATTTTAAGGCAGTAATTGGTTGCAAGGGAATTCAAATGTAATGTCCTTACTACCCACATAACATTTTTTAAAGTACAAAAAAGCCTGTTTTTCAAATCCTATGCCTATAGACTGAAACTAGCTTAGTAGTCTGAAGCTAAAAGTTGGAGAACATTTTTAGTATATAGATAAATCTATTTTATCTACCAAAAATGAGTAAGTAAACTACAATGCATTATATATTACCACCTCAGGAAATAGTTTTCATACTCACGTTAATTTCAATAAAAAAGTTGAGTACTTGAACCACCGCACAAAACTTTGTGTGCAAATGATGACATTTCACAACTCATTCATAAATACCTCTTGAAGAAGAGTTCATGTATCATGTGAAAGTATATGTCAGTATACAGTTTCATCTAAAGCAAATGGCATTTTCAAAAACTTTTATATCTTTATTTAATGGTTTCTTCCAGCACTTTAAATATTAATAGATTACCAAATTGAAAGATGTTTGTTCTGACCTTCACATAGCTCCATTTCTCTGGTGGTTTAATGCCTTTTACCAAGCACCAGAAGTGCATTAAATAATTTCTAATTTTTCTGATTCCATGTTGTGTTTGTCAAAAGACAAATGATAAATTCATTGATAGGTACAAATTCAAATAAAAACACACAATAAAATACTTTCTATTTTCTTCTGGCACCTTATTACCCTTCAACAGAAATACATCTAGATATTACAAATCCAAACTGTTTTTCTGAGCAAGTTTTGTTTAGTTATTAGGTATTTAGTGGGGAAAAATAAAAATATATATCTTATTATTTGTGTCTATATTTTGAAAACGAAAACAATAAACACAAAATATCGATTTGGAAACAGCGGTTTGGCAGATATGAAAGTGTATATAAGGGATTATTGAAGTATACTCTACAAAGCTATACTTCTAAAACAAACCAATAGTTCATAGTCTCGGAAACATTTTTAATTAGGGAGAACATAGAGGATGTGCTCCCAGAAAATAAGAAAAATACAAAAGAAGGGATGGATATGTTAACAGGCTAAAAAAGGTCTAGCAGAGTAGTCACGGGGAGTGCTGGGAAGATAGATTTTCACTCAACTCTGGGATTCAAGAGTTCAGATAAAAGCAGAGAGTGGTAGGGCTGTGAGGAGAAAGTTTGGTTTTCTAAAAGAAAAACAAATCATGTGAAGTAAATTTTCAAGTAATCTATGGGAGCATAGTATAAAAATTAATATAGGAATCAACATACAAAAAACTAAGAAATATGGAAAATGCAAGGTAAGTATTGACTTCAGCAAAATAAAGTGTAAGAGGAAGGAAAGTTAATAATAGAGTAATACTTGGCTCAGCAGTGAACAAATGCTTACCTAATCAGAGGGAGTGTGTCACAGTACATAACACAGTTGTAGAACTAGACTCTTTGGGGTTAAATATCAGCTCTGCAACTTGTAAGTTGAGTGACCTTGGACATATTATCTGTGCCTTGGATTTCTTATCTGTACATTTATAGCATCTTTATCATTAAGTGAGCTGATACATACAACATGCTTAGAACAGTACTGGCACATGATAAAAAGGGCTTTTGTTTGTTTGTTCATTTATTTATTGGTAATGATACCTATTTGTATGAGTCCATTCTCACACTGCTATAATGAACTATCTGAGACTGGGTAATCTATGAAGAAAAGATGTTTAATTGAGTCACAGTTCCACAGGCTTAACAGGAAGCATGACTGGAAGCCTCAGGAATCTTACAATCATGGTGGAAGATGGAGAGGAAGCAGGAACATCTTCAGACGTTGGATCAGGAGAGAAAGAGAGCAAACTGCGAAGTGCCACACACTTATAAGCCATCAGATCTGGTGAGAACTCACTCACTATCAGGAGAACAGCAAGGGGGAAATCTGCCCCCATGATCCAATCACATCCCACCAGGCCACACCCCTGACAGGGTGAAAACAATTGTACACGAGATTTTGCTGGGGACACAGAACCAAACCATATCACTATTGAATTGGCTAAATTCATGATACACGGCATAACTACATTTTGAATTGGCTAAATTCATGATACACGGCATAACTACATTATCCAAATTCAATTTGAGATCCCTTCTAGTCCAGTTTTTACTTTTTGTTCCTGTTCTATTGCCTTGTATTCCTATAGTCCTCATTATTTTTATTGATTACAGAATACTGTATTTTAAAAAAGGAGAAAAATTTATCCCAGGATCATGCTGTCTTCTGCAGAGAACATTTCTCATTAATTTTGACCGGAGATAAGAGACGTTAGCAATCCCTGATAACTTTAATCCAATTAAGACATTGAGGACCTGGCTTCAGTCCCCGTGAAGCCTTTGCTATTTCCAGTTATGTTTATCCTACAGGGTATCATTTAGAGTCCCAATCTGAAAATATGTAGTGTATACTAGGGACCCACTTTTCAAAGATTTGTGATATACTCCAAAGCTCTACTCCTGGACTCAGTTTATCAGCTACCGCTTCCTCTAATGGATAGATGTTCCCTGAAATAAACTACCCATATGACTGGGCTAATTTCTTTGTAATTCCTTCTCACAAGAGATTTTGGCCCCATTATTTACTGCTACTTTTGAAGTTAATTTCAGTTGGTTTCTTTTCCTGCATTTCCTAGTTCTCCATACCTAGAATTAAGCCATTTGAGGTGGATTTTCAATCAAGCAAAAGGTATGAAATATAAACAGAATGACAAATCTTTTTTCAATATTTCATTGGTTACCCAGGGCTTCAGTAAAAAATTATCACAAACTTGTTGGCTTAAAACAACAGAGAATTCAAGATAATGAGAAGATATACCAGAGATTGGGAAACAATACTTGTAGAAGACATATGTGATAAAAGACTGTTATCTAAAATAAACAAACAAAAAAAACACTTAAAACTCAACAGTAAGAAAAACGGCAACCCTATTTCAAAACATAAAATGTTGAGCAGACATCTCGCCAAAGAATATATATAAATGGCAAATAAGTATATGAAAATATGTTCAACATTATATGTCATCAGATAATTACAAATTAAAACAACAATGAGATGCCACTACCCATCTATTGGAATGACTAAAATCCAAAATACCGGCAAACACCAAATCCACCTTTGCCCATACACCTTTATCTAAACAAGGTCACTGTATTATTCTGTTCTCACACTGCTAATAAAGCCATACTCAAGACTGGGTAATTTATAAAGAAAAAGAAGTTTAACGAACTCACAGTTTCACATGGCTGCGGAGGCCTCACAATCATGGCAGAAGGAAAAGGAGGAGAAAAGGCACTTCTTACCTGGTGCTGTGTCCGGAATTGGTGGGTTCTTGGTCTCACTGACTTCAAGAATGAAGCCGCGGACCCTCGCGGCGAGTGTTGCAGCTCTTAAGGTGGCGCGTCTGGAGTTGTTCGTTCCTCCCGGTGGGCTCGTGGTCTCCCTGGCTTCAGGAGTGAAGCTGCAGACTTTTGCGGTGAGTGTTACAGCTCATAAAAGCAGTGTGGACCCAAAGAGTGAAATAACAAAGCTTCCACAGTGTGGAAGGGGACCCGAGCGTGTTGCCACTGCTGGCTCCCGTAGCCTGCGTTTAGTCTCTTATCTGGCCCCACCCATATCCTGCTGATTGGTAGAGCCCAGTGGTCTGTTTTGACAGGGCGCTGATTGGTGCCTTTACAATCCCTGAGCTAGATACAAAGGTTCTCCACGTCCCCATCAGATTAGTTAGATACAGAGTATAGACATAAAGGTTCTCCAAGGCCCCACCAGAGCAGCTAGATACAGAGTGTTGATTGGTGCACTCACAAACCCTGAGCTAGACACAGGGTACTGATTGGTGTGTTTACAAACCTTGAGCTAGATACAGAGTGCTGATTGGTGTAGTTATAATCCCTGAGCTAGACATAAAGGTTCTCCACCTCCCCACCAGACTCAGGAACCCAGCTGGCTTCACTCGGTGGATCCCGCACCGGGGCTGCAGGTGGAGCTGCCTGCCAGTCCCTCGCCGTGCACCCACACTCCTCAGCCCTTAGGTGGTCTATGGGACTGGGCGCCGTGGAGCAGGGGGTGACACTCGTCGGGGAGGCTCGGGCCACACAGGAGCCCATGGAGGGGGTGGGAGGCTCAGGCATGGCGGGCTGCAGGTCCCAAGCCCTGCCCTGCGGGAAGGCAGCTAAGGCCCAGTGAGAAATCGAGTGCAGCGCCGGTGGGCTGGCACTGCTGGGGGACCCAGTACACCCTCTGCAGCCGCTGGCCTGGGTGCTAAGCCCCTCATTGCCCGGGGCCGGCAGGGTCGGCCGGCTGCTCCGAGCCCAGGGCCCGCCAAGCCCACGCCCACCCGGAACTCCAGCTGGCCGGCAAGCGCCGCGCGCAGCCCCGGTTCCCGCTCATGCCTCTCCCTCCACACCTCCCTGCAAGCTGAGGGAGCTGGCTCCGGCCTTGGCCAGTCCAGAAAGGGGCTCCCACAGTGCAGCGGTGCGCTGAAGGCCTCCTCAAGTGCCACCAAAGTGGGAGCCCAGGCAGAGGAGTCGCCGAGAGCGAGCGAGGGCTGTGAGGACTGCCAGCACGCTGTCACCTCTCAGTGCCAAGCAAGAGAGTGTGTGTAGGGGAACTGCTCTTTATAAAACCATCAGATCTTGTGAGACCTATTCAGTGCCACATGAACAGCATGGGAAACACCCACCCCCATGATTTAATTACTTCACACCAGGTCCTTCTGGATACATGGGGATTATGGGAGCTATAAGTCAAGATTTGGGGGGACACAGCCAAACCATATCAGTCACATTCATACTTTCTTTGGGTTTAATATGAACTTATTTTTTGAGGATGTCACCATTTGATTCACCACAAATATGTTGAAACTTTTGAAGCAGTCTTATGTATTAAAATATTTTGAGGAATATGGTGTCTTAGTACTTAAAATCAAGAAATGAAGCTTAACCAGAGTACTAATCAAAGGGTTTTCATTACATTAAAAATGAAGAGTTTTTTTAATAAAAATGGAAAACTTAATAAACGTAGTTCTTTTCTTCTTTTCTTTAGGTACAATCAGTACTTAGTTTTCTATATACAGGAAAAATTTCTGAATATGTCAAAAGCTTAGCTGTAAAAAACTAGGGCACAGTAAATTAAATGCATATTTGTAATTTCTTTGTCATTTGTTCTTCATAATGTGATCTTTATTCGCAGATACTTTTTGAGTATTTATTATGTTGTTTTAAAATGTCAAAAGGAAAGTAACGTTGTCCCATAATGAACATGTATTAACCTATCAGTGCTTCCTAAATAATTGTCTTATCTATTTTCTTTCTGAAACGGAGTCTCTGAAGAAAATTCAGCTCCCCTGCTGGTTCACTCCAGGCTCCTATTTACCAATATTTGACACATGTTGAAAATGGAGAGTAATAGGTTACAATTATGCTCTAGCTGTCTCTATGAGTAGGAGGGTAGCTTATACAAAGTCATAATTTTCAAGCATATCCAAAAATGATTTTGCAAAATCGAATTTTAAAATATAACAATAGAAATGTACTAAAGCATATCAGTATTCTTAAGAAAAGTACTGTATGGCCAATCTAAGTCAGAAAAAGTTCTGAAGAATTTATATTGCCAAACTTTATGCATTTATTTAAGAGGAATTCATAACTGCTTTGAAGCAAAATTTCATTTAGAAAAGCTATATTTTCCTTCTTAACAACCTGGCATTTTGCAAATTCGAAAGCAATTCAAATCATTTAAAACATTTTAAGGTTGGTATTTGTTTTACAGCAATGTTCATCTGCACTCAGAGTGACCCATTTTATATTTCCCTTGTTTTTTATTTTTTTCTCCTTATCACTCTACTTAATGTCCCTTGGAGATCCTATCCACTTTCAAAATGTCATGATCACATGTTCTAATTCATGTATCTTTCCAGGTTCTACACTGTTTTTAACCTACATGTTTCCCAAGATTTTTAGGTACTTAGGTGAGATCGATTATTTATTTATTTATTTTTATTTTTTCTGAAACCGAGTCTCATGCTGTCTTCCAGGCTGCAGTGCAGTGGCACGATCTTGGCTCACTGAACCTCTGCCTCCCAGGTTCAAGGGATTCTTGTGCCTCAGCCTCCCAAGTAGGTGGGATTACAGACGCCCGCCACCACACCCAGCTAATTATTGTATTTTTAGTAGAGATAAGGTTTCACCATGTTGGCCAAGCTGGTCTCGAACTCCTAACCTCAAGTGATCCACCCACCTCAGCCTCCCAAAGCACTGGGATTACAGGTGTGAGCCACCATGTCTGGCCAGATACCTCTTAATTCATCCTCCTCTCCTGGACTCATTTTCTTCTAGCGTTTGTTTTACTAAGAAGAAAGTATGCTTTAACTTAGGCTCCTTCCTTTCCGTCAGCCACTGAATCTGACTCCATTGCCAAAGACACAAAGGGATCTCTCCAGGACTGTCTCTCTTGGTACAGCCTCTGCTTCTCCAATAATCTACCCCTTAAATTCTAACTGCTTTGATTCCTGAGATCTCCAAATTCTCTTACCTCAACTCACCAATACTGATATTCCATCTCTGCGTTGCATCCTGTAATCTCTCCAGGCAGTAAATTGGGTGCTGCTAGAGTTTATCCCATTCATTTTCATTTTCCTCCGCCCAGGAATTACTATCCTTGGGTGTGTGTGTCGGGCAGGGTCGGGGGGTGGAGTTCTAGTTGTTTAAGTTTGGATGGTAAATCTAACCCCTTTTATTCCATCATTGCCAGAAATCTTTGCCAATGAGGATTTCTACTTAAATTCTGACATACATAAGATTACTTTTCTTTTTTAAGAAAAGTGATGAGCATTTTAAAACAAAAGTCTATGTGCCCTATGACAACAACTTTCTTTTACTTATTTCCTTTAACTATCTAAGGTCAACTCGGATGAAGCAAGATAAAAAAAAATCTGTGAAAGATACATGCTACCTATTAAATGTTACCTAGCCAGGGATTGAAAAGTTTTACTTCCAGCCTGCACATCTAATGATCTCTGCTCATAGATGTTTTGCTCCAGTCTTCAGCAGAGGTAGGAAACATCTTATATGTAGTACGCTGTGATTACCAATAAGCTTAGTGTGCTTTGGAGAGATAGAAATACTGAACTTTCACCTTGGTCTGGTCAGCTAGTTTTATATGCTAATTGAAGAGCTGGGTGCTACTGACATGCCTTTTTTCCAATTCACTTTCAGTTGTGTCAGACTTATTCTGAATATTTTAAACCACTAAAACAAATTATTATATCATTGGTCATATACATTATATAGCATTTTATCAATACATTCTGGAACACTCCAACACTTTCCAAAATTTGACAGCTTTAGAGTACATAAAAGGTTTGTTTCCTTTGAGAGAGGTAGCCATATGCCTATTTGTAGTGTGGTAAAGGAAAGCATAATATTAATTGTATTTGAGAAAAACATGTTTACAATAAAATACATTTTATTTGTGAGAAAGACTTTACCTCACTTCGGTACACACACACAAAATACACAACTGTATAGTTACTTGTCTGTAGAATTAGGATCTTTAACAAAATTGCTTTTCACAGATCACAGTATGAAGCAATGTGATAGAACTTAAAGGAGTAATAATCCACAATTACAGTTGAAAATTTCAATGCATCATTCTGAGTTATTGATATTAAAAGTAAACATAAAATAGGCAAAAAATAGAAAATTTGAACACTATCAACCATCTTAACCTAGTAGACTTTCATTAAACATTTTGCCTAAGAATAGCAGAATACAAATTTTGCAATAAATACACATAAAATGTTTAACAACATAGAGCATACTATGAGCCATAAACAAATTTCCATAAATGTAAAAATACTAAAATTATAATATTAAAAGGTATATTTCTAGGTGATGGCAGGTATAAATTAGAGATTCAGAACAAAAATATAAGAAGTTTCAAGAGAAATTAGGTACATTTTAAACTAAATAAAAAAGGAAACAAAAGGTATCAAAATATCTGGAATGCAGCTAAAGCAGTGTATGAGGGAGAAAATGAGAGCATTAAATGTGTATATTAGAAAAAAGATAAGTATCTAATAAATATTCTAAGTTTCTATTAAGAAACAAAGAAAAGAATATTTTAAAGAGAAGGAACAAAATAATATAGAGCAAATGTCAATAATTTTACAACAGAAAAAAAATAGAGTAAATTAAGAAAATCAACAGCTGGTCTTTGAAATGATAAATAAAATGAATAGACTTCTAACCAGACCATCCAAGAAAAAAAAGGGGAAAAGCAAAAAGTTAAGTATATTAAGAATAATATAAGGAATACTTTTTCACATCCTACAAATTGCAAAATCACAAGTATATATTGTGAACAATTTTATGCCAATAAATTGAAAAAAATAGTGAAATGGAAAAATACCATGAAAGAAACTAACCTCCACATTTCATTCAAGAAGAAATATATAACATGAATAACCATATATCCATGAAATCATATTCACAATTAAAAATCTTTAGTGACGACTGTAACAACAAAAACTTCAGGCTCAAATGGTTTTACTGATATATTACCAAATATTTAAAGAAGAAAGGGTACAGCTGTTCACAATTTGATCAGAAAGATAACATGAGATATTCTCTGATACCAGGATTACACCGACCTGAAAAACAGACTTCTCAAGAAAAGAAAACTACTGACTAATATTTCTGATCAATACAGATACAAAAATTTTTAATTCATTTTTAGAATATGAAGGATGGCTCTACATAAAAAAGGATAATGAATCATGACCACTGGAGTTTATTCAAATAACACAAGATTTATTAATTGAAAGTCAGGCAATGTAATTAGTCATATTAGGAAAACATATATGTTTTATCTCTTTTCATTACAAAATACAAAAGAACATGATCATCTTAATAAATGAAGAACAAGCATTTGACAATATTCAACATTCATTCATTAGGATAGTCCATAGCAAAGTATGAATAGAAGGAAACCTTTTTATGCCTCATGAAAATAATCTAAAAAATTTAGCTCCTAACGCCATAGTTAATGGTAATTATTGAATGCTTTCACCCTAAGATTGGGGAAAAATTTTGAGGATATTCATTACTACTGCAATATTGTACTGAAATCACTAGGCAGTGAAATAAAGCAATTAAAAAAGAAATTACTCATATCACAAAGAAAAATTAAAATGGTCTCTATTTATATAATTCATGAACATCCATATAGAAAATTCCAAGGAAAATATAAAACATATGTGAGGTATATCATGTCACAGGATACAAGATCAACGTACAGTGAAGGTCAGTTTTAACTCCGTATATTAGCATTGAATAATCTAACAATAAAATTATAAAAGTATCCAAAATAGCATCAAAAGAATAAAACATAAATACATTTAACAAAAGAAGTCTATGCATTGTATAATGAAAACTATAAGTATTGGTAAAAAGAAATTTAAAATCTAGCAAAATGAAGAAATATTCCATGTGAATTGATTAGAAAATGATATTATTAAGAAGTCAAATGTCTCCAAATTGATGTGTATTTTCAATGTAACCTTATTCAAAATCCCAGGTGTGTGTGTGTGTATGTGTGTGTGTGTGTACATGTGCAATCAAGTGTATGCATGTGCATGTATGCATATGTTTAAAAAATCAAAATATAATTTTAAAGTTTATATGTGATTCAAAGGCCTAGAATAGCAAGAAGAATTTTGAAAAAGAACAAATTTGAGAGGAACACATTTTGAAGGCTGACACTATCTGACTTAAGGATTACTGTAGAACCTGAATAATCAAGATACTGGCATTTTTTTTCTTTATTTTATTATTATTATACTTTAAGTTTTAGGGTACATGTGCACAACGTGCAGGTTTGTTATATATGTATATATTACTTTCAAGTTCAAGCTTCCTCAGATCCCTAGGAATGGACACAATACAGCCAAGTTATTTGCTAAAGCATAACAAATAACTTTTACTCCAGCTCCCAATAAGTTCCGCATTTCTAACTGAGATTCCAGCATCCTTGGCATTATTGCCCTCGTCACTATCAGCATTTTGGACACAATGATTTCACTAGTCTCCAAGAAGTTCCAAACTTTTCTTCATTTTCTTATGTTCTTTTGAGTCCTCAACTTTCTTCCAACCTCTTCCTGTTACCCAATTCCAAAGCTACTTCCACATTTTCAGGTATCTTTACAGCATTATTTCCCTCATTGCTACCAATTTTCTATATTAGTCCATTCTTGCATTCCCATAAAGAAATACCTGAGACTGAATACTTTATAAAGAAAACATATTTAATTGACTCATGACTCTGCAGGCTGTACAGGAAGCATGATGGCATCTGCTTGGCTTCTGGAGAGGCCCCAGGTACCTTACAATTATGGCAGAAGATGAAGGGGGAGCAGGCATGTTACATGACCAGAGCAGGAGCAAGAGAGTGACAGGGGAGGTGCCTCACACTTTTAAACAGCTAGATCTCATGAGAACTTACTATTTTGAGGACAGCACCAAGAAGATGGTACTAAATCGTTCTTGAAAAACCCATCCCCATGATCCAATCACCTACCATCAAGCTCCACATCCAACACTGGGTATTACATATCAACATGAGATTCTGGCAGGAACACACAGTCAAACTATACCATTCACAGAGGAAAATAAAAAGCATCAACCATGGGGCCCATCAATGGTGGACTGGATAAAGAAAATGAATGTGGTTCATATACACCATGGAATACTACGCAGCCATAAAAAATGAAATCATGTATTTTGCAGCAACACAGATGCATCTAGAGGCCATTATCCTAAGCAAATTAATACAGAAGCAGAAAACTAAATATCATATGTTCTCACATATAAGTAAAAACTAAACTTATGTACACATGGACATAAAAAGGGGAACAATAGTCACCGGGGAATCCAAAAGGAGGAAGGAAGGAAGGAAGGAAGGAAGGAAGGAAGGAAGGAAGGAAGGAAGGAAGGAAGGAAGGAAGGAGGGAAGGAAGGACAGAAGGAAGGAAGGGAGAAAACGGCTGAAAAACTTCCTATTGCATACCATGTTCACTATCTCAGTGATGAGATCAATAGAATCCCAAGTCTCAGCATTACCCAATATACTCTTGTAACAAATCTGCACAAGTACCCCCTGAACAGTAAATAAAACTTAAAATAAGAAAATAAGAAACAAAACTCATGTTGAAATTTAATTGCCATTATAACAGTATTAAGAGGTGAGATCTTTGAGAAGTAATTAGGCCAGGAGAGCTTCACCAATATAAGGGGATTAATGCCATTATAAATGGCATGAATTGACTCATTTTTGCCACTGTTTTTTTATACTTTAAGTTCTAGGGTACATGTGCACAATGTTCAGGTTTTTTAAGTATGTATACATGTGTCATGTTGGTTCACTGCACCCATTAACTTGTCATTTACGTTAGGTATTTCTCCTAATGCTATCCCTCCCCCATCCCTCCACCCCATGACAGGCCCCCGTATGTGATGTTCCCCACCCTGTGTCCAAGTGTTCTCATTGTTCAATTCCAACCTATGATTGAGAACATGCGGTGCTTGGTTTTCCGTCCTTGCGATAGTTTGCTCAGAATGATGGTTTCCAGCTTCATCAATGTCCCTACAAAGGACATGAACCCAACCTTTTTTATGGCTGCATAGTATTCCATGGTGTATATGTGCCACATTTTCTTAATCCAGTCTATCATTGATGGACATTTGTGTTGGTTCCAAGTCTTTGCCATTGTGAATAGTGCTGCAATAAACATACATGTGCATGTGTGTTTATAGTAGCATGATTTATAAGCCTTTGGGTATATACCCAGTAATGGGATTGCTGGGTCAAATAGTATTTCTAATTATAGATCCTTGAGGAATCACCACACTGTCTTCCACAATGGTTGAACTAGTTTACATTTCCACTAACAGTGTAAAAGCATTCCTATTTCTCCACATCCTCTCCAGCACCTGTTGTTTCCTGACTTTTTAATGATCACCATTCTAACTGGTGTGAGATGGTATCTCACTGTGGTTTTGGTTTGCATATCTCTGACGACCAGTGATGACGAGCATTTTTTCATGTGTCTGTTGGCTGCATAACTGTCTTCTTTTGAAAAGTGTCTGTTCATATCCTTTGCCCACTTTTTGATGGGGTTGTTTGATTTTTTTCTTGTAAATTTGTTTAAGTTCTTTGTAGATTCTGGATATTAGACCTTTGTCAGATGGGTAGATTGCAAAAATTTCCTCCCATTCTGTAGGTTGCCTGTTCACTCTGATGATAGTTTCTTTTGCTGTGTAGACTCTTTGCACTACTACATTGTGTTATGTGAAGATGAGGCAAGAAAGTCTCAATATGTCGGCAACTGGATATTGTACTTTCCAGCCTCCAGAATTGTGAACCAATGAATTTCTATTTACTATAAATTACCAGTCTTGGACATTCTGGTTTAAGAGCAGAAAATGTACCAAGATACTCACCAACAGTTCTTATTGTCTATTAAATAAATATTATTATATATATTCTACTGGATGTAATGTGATACCTCCTTTTGGCTTTCATTTGTATTTCTCCAATGATTATTGATATTGAGCAGGTTTACATGTATTGTATTTTTGTGTGTTTTGTTTGGATAAATTTCTAATCAAATCCTGCACTTGTTTTTAAATGAGCTGTTTGCTCTGTGTTATTGAATATATATATATATACATACACACACACACACACACAAGGAGATAGATATATCGTCTATACATATGTATCCTCTCTATATAGGATATGAGGTGCTTTTCTTTTCTAGACAGGTTAGCTTATCTATTTATTTTTAAATAAAATGTATTGTTGTGGATCAGTTTTAGGTTCACAGAAAAATTGACCAGAAGGCACTAAGATTTCTCATATACTCCCTGCCCACACATATGCATGTCTTCCCCCATCATCAATATTCCCAAGTGTGATGTAGTTGTTACAATTTATGGCTCTACATTGACACATCATTATCACCTAAAGCTTATAATTTACATTAGGCTTCACTTTTGGTTTCCTTTATAAAGTATTGGACAAATGTAAAAGGATATGTATCTGCCAGTATAGTATTTTATAGAGTAGTTTCACTGCCCTAAAATTATTCTGTTTTCTGCATGTTTCCCTTCCTCCCTCCTAAACCCTGAACAATCAGTGATATTTTTACTTTCTTTATAGTTTTATATTTTACAAAATGTCATACAGTTAAATAATACAGTATGTAGCCTTTTTACTTTGGCTTATTTCAAGTACCAAAATATGTTTGTTTCCCTCCTACCTATTTATGATTTGACAGCTTATTTCTTTTTAACCCTAAATAACATTTCAATGTCTGGATATGTGGCATGCTTTTTATCCATTTACTAACTGAGGACATCTTGGTTGCTTTCATGTTTTACTAATTATATATAAAGCTACTAAAACCATTAATGTGCAGGTTTTTGTGGAGATAGAAGTTTTCATCTCCTTTGGGTAAATACCAAAGAGATGATATCATGGTTAGAGAATATTTAGTTTTGTAAAAAAGTGCTGAGCTGTCTTCCAAAGTGGCTGTGCCATTTTGCATTTCCATATCAATAAATAATAAATCAGAGTTCTTTTGCTGCACATCCTTTCCAGAATTTGGTGTTGACAGTTTTGGATTTCAGCTGCTCTAGTAGGTTTGTTGTGGTATCTAATTAATGCTTTCATTCTCATTTCCCTGATAATATATTATGTGGAGCATCTCTTCATATGTTTGTTATCTGTATATCTTTGCTGAGATATCTAATAAGGTCTTTGGCCCTTTTATTCATGAGGTTATTTTTTTATTGTTGATATTTCAGAATTATTTGCACATGTTGAAGAACAGTCCTCTATCAAATATAGTTTTGCAAATATTCCCTCCCAATCTATGGCTTTTCTTTTTATTACTTAATGGTGTTTTTTCACAGAACAAAACTTTTTAATTTTATTGAAGTCCAGCTCATCAATCCTTTCTTTCATAGATCATGTCTTTGATGTTGTACATAAAAAGTCATAACGAAACTCAACATCTAAATTTTCTCCTATAATACCTTCTATAAGTTTTATAGGGTTTCGTTTCACATTTAAATCTGTAATACACATTGAGTTAATTTTTAGGAAAGTTATTAAAAAGTTTGTGTCTAGATTCATTTGCTTCCATGTGGATTACCAGTATTTGTCAGTACGATTTGTTCCAAAGACTATCTTTTTTTCTATTGTATTGCCTTTGCTCCTTTGTCAAAGATCAGTTTACTATATGTATGTGGGTCTATTTCTGTGCTCTCTATTCTGTTGTATTAATTTATTCATCTATTACTTTGCCAATATCACACTTCCTTGATTACAATAGGTTTATAGTAAAATTTAAAGTCAGATAGTGTTTGTCTTTTAACTTTGTTCTTCTCCTTCAATATGGTTTCAGCTATCCTGGGTCTTTTGCCTCTCAATATGAACTTTAGACTCAGTTTGTTGATAGCCACAAACCCACTTGCTGAGATTTGAAGGAAATTGCATTGAATTTATACAATAAATTGAAGAGAACTGACATCTTGACAATATCGAGTCTTCCTATCTATAAAAAGGGAATATACTAAACTCTTTCCAGATACGTGATTTGCAATATTTCCTTCTGTTGTGTCATTGTGTTTTGCTTTCTTGATATCTTTTTAAAGAAACACATACACACACATCAACAACAACATCAATAACAACAAAACAAATCATCTATTTATCTTTGGTTACTTGTTTTTTGAGTGTCTTATCTAAAAATTCATTTTCTAATCTGTAGTCACAAAGATTTATACCTATGTTTGCTTAGTTGCTTAGTAGACATATACACTTTTAGCTCTTACATTTAGTTGTTTGATCAATTTTTAGTTAATTTTTACATGTGGCCTGAAGTATGAATCTGATGTCATTTTTTTTTACTGGTGAATATTGTTTTCCCATCATTATTGTTTGAAAAGACTGTTCATTTTTTATTTAATTTCCTCGACATTCTTATCAAAACATGTATGACTTTATTTCTGGGCTTTTAATTGATGTGTATGTCTAGGTTTAATATGGTATTACTTAGTCCTATTTACTCTTGTTTTGGAAAAACATTGTGAAATTTGCAGGAATGTGATCCCTCCAGTATTTTAAGGTTACTTTCGATATTCTTATATCTTTGCATTATGTATAAATTTTAGAAGCAACATGTCAATTACCATAAAAAAAACACTGAATTTGGATTTACATTGTATTGAATCTATTGATCATTTTGGAGAGGATTACTATTTTAATAATATTTAATCAGTTCATGATCCCAGGAAATATTTCCATTGATTTATATTATTTTTAATTTATTTTAATAGTGTTTTGTAGTTTGATGTGTACATGTCTTGCATTTCTTTTGTTAAAATTATTCCTAAGTATTTTATTATATTTTATGCTAATATGAATTGAATTATTTTTATAATTTCAATTTTGGATTTTCCATTGTTACTGCACAGAATTACCATTAATATTTATATGTTGATTTCATGTCTTGTGACTTCACTGAACTCATTTGTTAGCTCTAATAGTGTGTATATATGTTTATTTCTTAATAGATTCTAGGTATATGATTATGTCATCTACAAAATCATTTTAACATACATCTATTTTTGTTTTCTTGCCTAATTTATCTTGTCTAAAACATTCAGTACAATGTTGAATTAAAGTAGCAAGAGCAAACATCCATATGCTAATGTTTAGAGAAAGCTTTTTCTCTCAATATAAATATGATCTTAGCTGAGGATTTATAATAAATGCTCTTCATGAAGTTGAGCAATTTACTTCCCTCCTGTTTCTAGTTCACTATTTTTACCATAAAAAGGATTTGGTTTTTATCAACAGCTTTTTCTGTATGTATTAAGATGATCATTGGGTTTTTTGTCCTTTTTCATTAATATGATGTATTATATTAATTAATTTTTATATGTTAAACCAACTCTGCAATCCTGGTATCAATACCATTTCATGGAGGACAGTCATTTTTATGTTACTGGATCTGGCTTTCTGAGATATCTTTGATAATTTTTATGTTCATAAGTGGTTTCTTTTTTAGTTTATTGATATCATGGATTACATTGGTTTTCAAATGTTAAACTTGCCTTACACCTAAGAAATAAATTATATTTGGTTATGGTCTATAATCCTCTTTTTTATGTTGGTAGATTCAGTTTTCTAAGTCATGGAGGATTTTTCACATGTATATTCATGATGAATTTTGATTTACGTTTTTTTCTTGTGAAGTCTTCATGTCATTTTTGTATCACAGTAATACTGGCCTCATAGAAAGAGTTGTGAAGTATTCCCTCCTTCTGTATATATCTTAAAGCATCTATAAAAAGCCAGGGCTAATTTTTTAAAATGTTTGGTAGAGTTCATCAGGAAATCATATGTACTTGGGCTTGTCTTTGTAGGAAGTTTTCTATTTCTATTCTAGTGTGGAATCTTATTTTTTTGTACATAAAACTGCTTTGAAAAATAAATTCTGTCTGTTTAAAAATGGTAATACTTGAGCACGTAAAAAATTTTAAAATATCAGAAAAAAAATTACAATGAGGAATATATTCCCATTGCCTTATATATGTAGAAACTTAGTTCTACTCTTCACAGGTAATCACAGGAATCAGTCCCTTCTAAACTATTCTGGAGACATCGCACACAAAAATATATTTATATGCATATTTGTCTCCCAAAATACCATCCAGAATGTTGTGAACCTTGCTTTTATATATACCTATATATCTTGGAGGTTAGCCTTCATCAGTACATATTGAGCTACCTCATTCTACTTAACAGCTATGTAATTCTCCATTGAACAGTTATGTTACAATTTATTTAATCAGTGGCCTGAGGGTAATACTTGTACGTTTTCTAACCTTTTGCTACTAAAATAATAATGGATGATTTTAGACATCAGCTTTAGAAAAGACAGTACATTCAGCGGTTACTTACATCAGCTCTGGAACTGAAGCTGTTATGTTTTGAATCCAAATTTCTCCACTTAGCCATGAACTATATAATTTTATCCAGTTCATTAATGTTTTTATAGCTTAGTTTCCTTAGTTGCAAGACACCAAGTATTTCATAGGCAGAAATAATACAGTAATTTATAAAGGGCTAACAGACATATAGATCTGTTAATATTCGCTAATTGTATAATTTACTATATGGGTAAACATTGAATTTTTTTGGAATATATTCTGAATATTATGGTTTTTGACAAATATCAACTAATTTTAGAAATCATCGTGTATGTTTTGAATCTAGGTTTTCTCAAAACTCTGCTTCATCTTTTCTTTAATTTTCTTTGTTTCATTTTTATAATAACCTGGGCAGAATAAACACATAAAAGTGCTTTAAGTTACTTCATACGTATTTACAACACGTTTAAGCCATGAAATATATTGATCTTAATGATCATTTTATCATAAATGATTTAGTTTTTATCCTCATACCTTAACTAATTTAGAACATTTAAATATTTTACCTTTTGACTTATATAACAATATATATATATATACCTCATTTCCATTTGTGTATTGATTATAATTCAATCAATATTTATTGAATGTGATGTATGTGATACCATAAGGTGGAAGTTGTTAGCACTACTTCTCTGGGGTTCACTTTTTCTCCTTCCACCATTTACCATAATTTACACAGATGTAGATTATTTTTGCAAATAGAAATTGTTAAGTGATTATAAACCCAGAAGATGTGTATTTACCTTTACTTTAGAGGATTTTCGTACTGTCCCTTGACTAATGCTAAACCAAACAGTTTTTGTCCCCCTTTTTCTGCAAACCATGTATCTGAGTATAGTAGTAAGAATGCTACCTTTAGTAAAGTGTATACATGCCAAGTCACCCCTATTCAAGAGGCTGCTAATTCAGCTTGAAATAGATAAACCGATTTTTCAATTCAGTTTGAAATAGATAATTTTTTCTAACTGTGTGGGAGAGACAGAAACCTACTATTCTCAGCCATAGTAAGGAAAGGTGCCCAGGCTCTGAAACACCTCCCTTCGTGCTTCAAACAAACCTGTATTTCATTCTCAAGGTATTCCATGGCAAAGCAATCTGGCCGACCTTCAGCATGTGTGATTGCAATATTCAACAGCTGAAGAAGTTAAACACATTCCATTTTCTAGACAGTATTGCCTTCTACATATATCATTGTTTGTTCTTAGGTAAGAATGTGTTTGTATATTAAAGAAACAGTAGAAGATAATCAGTGAGAGGAAGCTCAATAACATAGACTCTAGACTAAGGTTAACACCTAGAAAAAAATCAATGAAAGACAATCTTAAGCAGATATATATATATACACACACACACACTATATATATACTATATACTATATACGTATATATATATACACGCAGTGTGTGTACATATATATATATATATCAGTGTTAGGTGAAATAGAATTTACAAAGAAATTAAACAGGTTTTGTAACTAAAATGAATATATTATATAAAATTAAAATGTAACTAAGTAGAATTCATTTCTATATTACATATATTTGATACTTATCAAAAGATGGATTAAATTGTAAATTCACTCTGGATATAGGATCAGTTTTTTTTTTTGAGGTTCTTTTTTTATTATACTTCAAGTTTTAGGGTACATGTGCACAATGTGCAGGTTTGTTACATATATATACTGGCACATATACATCAAGGATCTGTTTTTTTTTTTTTAATGACAAGAACGTTATCTCTAACCATTAATTTTGCATTTAAATTTAAAAGCATTTTAATCATAAGTTCTATTTTCATATTTAAATAATCTTATTCTTTTATTGTTAGGCTTTGTTTTGTACATTATTTCTTTAATTGTAGGAAAAATAGTCACAGGTTTTATTTTTTTTTGCTAATATTTGAATTAACTTTCTTGCCATAATTTACAATTTGAAGGTTCAATCAGATTTATTTCTAAGGAAAGTATCTAACCAAAATAGCTCTCTTATATTATATGGTTTAATTAACCATTTTATTAGGCTTTTGAAGCAAATAAAATGTGTAAGATAGCTTTCTTAGAATACTAGAGTGTATATTGAATAAGATAACTGAGTTTGTAATCAAAATAGATAGTTTCTTGAATCTTCTGAACCACTCTGAAAAAGTTGGCAAGTGGGCAGATAATCCATGTAATTTTTTAACAATAATTAAATACATAGCATTTATATATACTTTTTTATTTTAATTAGAATATTAGAAGATGTAAAATGTTATACTGACTATTTCTTTAACTATCTGAAAAAACTGAATGTAGACTGATTTTCAGACAGGATCCAACCAAGGTTAATCCATTTGCTCTTCCCTACAGTAATTTATCCAAACTTTCACTGTGGTGTGTAAAGAGACACTGTCTCTTCAAATACTTTGAAGACTTCTTGCCAACAGGCCCACATATGAAAGTAACTAAGTAAAACTTAGTCAAGCAACATTAGAGAAAAACAAAAGACAAATACTGCTAAGTACTAACTGACTCCTAAGGGAGTGTTTGCAGTTCACACTACATTTGAAATATTTGTTTTATCCAAAAAAAGGCTGGGGGAGAAAAAGTTGTGTGTGTGTGTGTGTGTGTGTATTACACTGATAAACACTGTGTGATTATCACTGTATACTGTATATATATACATGTATATATATACATATATATGACAAATAACTGTTCTGATTAACTGTTCTGAGTGTGTGTATATATATAGTGTGTATATATATATAGCATGTGTATATATATATATATAACTGTTCTGAAATTAATTTCTTTTTTTAAAAATATATGTGCAAAGTCAAGTTTATTGACATTCTACTTTCATCACTGAAGGAATTATGGAAGTGATAACTAATTACAAAAATTTTAAAATCTAATCCATCACAAGAATTTTAAAAGAAATATAACATTTTTAAAGAAATATGATCCCAGAATACATAGCAAAAAAAAAAAGCAAACACTTTTGTATTTAGTTTTCCTATTGACAGCACATGTATGCATTTTTTAGATTGTATGTTTGTCCTAGAATGACAAACTTTTTGAGAAGATGAACTGGGTCTTATTCAATTGTGTTTCTTTCACAAAGCCCTGAGGAATGCTTTGACAATGGCAGACACTCGACAAGGTAAGTGTTGAGTGAGTAAATAAACTGCCAACCATTCTAAGAGAGAAAAGACAATTAAATTACAGTTGTGCAAACGAAAAATGTTGACATTTTTATTTTCAACTTAAATTATGTTTTCTTGTAGCTTTTCTGCTGTGCCCTTACTCTCTTCTCTATTGCTCAGATGGAAGCCCACATTCTTGATTTCTGTATTCATAAAATAGATTTAATATCCACATATGGTTGAGAAAAAAATAGAATACTTATCTTTCCTTTTTTATTATTTTTGCCACCTTTTTTAGCCTAAGAAAGCCTACAGACATGGTCTTTTGTATATTTGCTATGTATGAGAGATCCTTCCTAGGCATAAAGAAAAAGGGAGAAAGATTCCCCCTCTATTCCCAGTAGATTTTAAGCAGAAAAAGAAGAGAAATAAAATACAACAGGAGCCAAGCTTCTGTTTTTGTTGTTATTTTCTCTATTTAGGTGGAAGAATGTTCTAGAATAGGAGACATTTTGGAGCCATCAGATATGAAGGGAAAGGGACTGAGAATATCACGAATAGGTGAATATAGTCCCATAGAATCCCCATGAAGAGGGTGTGAGAACTTAGCAAAAACTCATGTGCCCAATAATAAATTGTTTTTTTGGTTTAATACCTATACCCAGTGTCCATCAGCCTTGGGCTAAAGTATAGCAGCATGATTGGCCTGTGTCGAAATAGTGAGTTTGTTGCTCTCCTGGCTCAATTTCAGTGTAGAGGAGAAGCAAAGTTTTGGCTAGAAAACTGCAATGAGATGTGTAAATACTGAGTCCCTGTTTCTGGGGAAAAATTGCGAGTGAGAAGAAAGAAGACTGTATGGGTAAGGACTCCAAGATCTGAGGGGATGTGCCACAGTCACAGAGCAACAGTGAGCAGAAGTTCGACATTCCAAGAGATCTATACTCTGAGAATAAGTGAAAAGAGAAAAATCATAATCACTTGCCACATTTCTAAATGCTTAGCTGTTGTTTATTCATCACCAGAGACCAAGATAATCAAGAACATACACTTTGCCTCTGAAGACCCTTTGTTCTCCTTGTCACACCAAGATCATATAAGCCATATTCGTCTCTTATATATGTACACACTATCTTATGTAAGGCAATATGAATGGAGAAGGAATGGGTTGGCCAAGCAAACACTTTTCAAAATGACTATTGGTGATTTGTACTAAATTTATACTTTTCCCCTCTGCTAGCCTGTTGATGGGAGTTGTGAGACTGGATTAATTATAAAGAATGAACTATGTGTTTTTTCCACATGTGAACATTCTTTGAATGAGTCATTTAACCATACCTCACTAATTAGTCAAATAATCAGCTTATTTTTGATGGACTATTATGAGATAGAAGTTTACTAATATAATAATGCAAACTTATCCAACATGCTTCATAGATTAACATTATAGATAATTGGAAAACTGTATTATCAAATTATTATTGTTATCAAAGTAGTGGCATATACTTACCAATGGAATCTATAAAGATAAATGAGAAAACTCTTGTTAACACAATTAAGACTAAAAATCAGGAACATAAAAGCACATTTACATCTGGTAATTGGATGACTTAATTAGAAGACCAAAGAAAGGAAACCAACTTGAGTGGATTGGGTCAAACGTCTCATTCAAAGGATGAAACTGCTCAGGTTAATGGAAGTTTAAAGTCTGTATGCTTTAACCAATTTACCATTTATTTACTGAAAATTAATGAATATTTTTCTTCTATATTTATAATTTCAACATGAAAAGTGCTTTATTTCTGAAATACTGGATATATAAAAATTGAACCTTTAGCTTTAATCTTTATGATATGTAAGTGATAATTCTTATTTTTATAGTAATCCTTGCCTAACAATAGTCCAATATTTTAGCAAATACATACATATAAATCATTAGTGTTGTAGTTTAATAGCTATATCTAATATGCAAAAAATTACTTTGAAATAGTTTTAAGACTAGTAGAAACTGATTTCTAGAAAAAAAATGGAAAGAGCTAAGCTTTCTTTTTTAACATTCTCTTTAAAATTATAAGCAATATGTTATGTTTTGTATTCCTCACAAGCCTTTTGAAAAGTATATGCAGTAATAGTTTAATTTAGGGTGCCAATCTCTTTTATTAGATTTATGCCTATGATGAAAGGTAGCTGAAATGTTTAAATCTAGTGTTACCTAAATGACCAAATAGCAAATATTAAGATTCTTGCTTTTTGTTGGGTTACTTTTATAAACTATGTATTTACATTTTAAAAAATAGAAAATTATTCCACTTTAGAGTCTTCTTAATACCAGTGTCTTAGCTTTCTGATTAAGCCAATTGTAGCAACTGGGAAAGATTTTAAAGATAAATTATATGGGGAGGAGCCAAGATGGCCGAATAGGAACAGCTCCGGTCTACAGCTCCCAGCGTGAGCGACGCAGAAGACGGGTGATTTCTGCATTTCCATCTGAGGTACCGGGTTCATCTCACTAGGGAGTGCCAGACAGTGGGCGCAGGTCAGTGGGTGCGCGCACCGTGTACGAGCCGAAGCAGGGCGAGGCATTGTCTCACCTGGGAAGCGCAAGGGGTCAGGGAGTTCCCTTTCCGAGTCAAAGAAAGGGGTGACGGACGCACCTGGAAAATCGGGTCACTCCCACCCGAATATTGCGCTTTTCAGACCGGCTTAAAAAACGGCGCACCACGAGACTATATCCCACACCTGGCTCGGAGGGTCCTACGCCCACGGAATCTCGCTGATTGCTAGCACAGCAGTCTGAGATCAAACTGCAAGGCGGCAGCGAGGCTGGGGGAGGGGCGTCCGCCATTGCCCAGGCTTGCTTAGGTAAACAAAGCAGCCAGGAAGCTCGAACTGGGTGGAGCCCACCACAGCTCAAGGAGGCCTGCCTGCCTCTGTAGGCTCCACCTCTGGGGGCAGGGCACAGACAAACAAAAAGACAGCAGTAACCTCTGCAGACTTAAATGTCCCTGTCTGACAGCTTTGAAGAGAGCAGTGGTTCTCCCAGCACGCAGCTGGAGATATGAGAACGGGCAGACTGCCTCCTCAAGTGGGTCCCTGACCGCCGAGCAGCCTAACTGGGAGGCACCCCCCAGCAGGGGCACACTGACACCTCACACGGCAGGGTATTCCAACAGACCTGCAGCTGAGGGTGCTGTCTGTTAGAAGGAAAACTAACAAACAGAAAGGACATCCACACCGAAAACCCATCTGTACATCACCATCATCAAAGACCAAAAGTAGATAAAACCACAAAGATGGGGAAAAAACAGAACAGTAAAACTGGAAACTCTAAAACGCAGAGCGCCTCTCCTCCTCCAAAGGAACGCAGTTCCTCACCAGCAAAGGAACAAAGCTGGATGGAGAATGACTTTGACGAGCTGAGAGAAGAAGGCTTCAGACGATCAAATTACTCTGAGCTACGGGAGGACATTCAAACCAAAGGCAAAGAGGTTGAAAACTTTGAAAAAAATTTAGAAGAATGTATAACTAGAATAACCAATACAGAGAAGTGCTTAAAGGAGCTGATGGAGCTGAAAACCAAGGCTCGAGAACTACTTGAAGAATGCAGAAGCCTCAGGAGCCGATGCAATCAACTGGAAGAAAGGGTATCAGCAATGGAAGATGAAATGAATGAAATGAAGCGAGAAGGGAAGGTTAGAGAAAAAAGAATAAAAAGAAATGAGCAAAGCCTCCAAGATATATGGGACTATGTGGAAAGACCAAATCTACGTCTGATTGGTGTACCTGAAAGTGATGCGGAGAATGGAACCAAGTTGGAAAACACTCTACAGGATATTATCCAGGAGAACTTCCCCAATCTAGCAAGGCAGGCCAACGTTCAGATTCAGGAAATACAGAGAACGCCACAAAGATACTCCTCGAGAAGAGCAACTCCAAGACACATAATTGTCAGATTCACCAAAGTTGAAATGAAGGAAAAAATGTTAAGGGCAGCCAGAGAGAAAGGTCGGGTTACCCGCAAAGGGAAGCCCATCAGACTAACAGCGGATCTCTCGGCAAAAACCCTACAAGCCAGCAGAGAGTGGAGGCCAATATTCAACATTCTTAAAGAAAAGAATTTTCAACCCAGAATTTCATATCCAGCCAAACTAAGCTTCATAAGTGAAGGAGAAATAAAATACTTTACAGACAAGCAAATGCTGAGAGATTTTTGTCACCACGAGGCCTGCCCTAAAAGAGCTCCTGAAGGAAGCGCTAAACATGGAAAGGAACAACCGGTACCAGCCACTGCAAAATCATGCCAAAATGTAAAGACCATCGAGACTAGGAAGAAACTGCATCAACTAACGAGCAAAATCACCAGCTAACATCATAATGACAGGATCAAATTCACACATAACAATACTAACTTTAAATGTAAATGGACTAAATGCTCCAATTAAAAGACACAGACTGGCAAGTTGGATAAAGAGTCAAGACCCATCAGTATGCTGTATTCAGGAAACCCATCTCACGTGCAGAGACACACATAGGCTCAAAATAAAAGGATGGAGGAAGATCTACCAAGCAAATGGAAAACAAAAAAAGGCAGGGGTTGCAATCCTAGTCTCTGATAAAACAGACTTTAAACCAACAAAGATCAAAAGAGACAAAGAAGGCCATTACTTAATGGTAAAGGGATCAATTCAACAAGAGGAGCTAACTATCCTAAATATATATGCACCCAATACAGGAGCACCCAGACTCATAAAGCAAGTCCTGAGTGACCTACAAAGAGACTTAGACTCCCACACATTAATAATGGGAGACTTTAACACCCCACTGTCAACATTAGACAGATCAACGAGACAGAAAGTCAACAAGGATACCCAGGAATTGAACTCAGCTCTGTACCAAGCGGACCTAATAGACATCTACAGAACTCTCCACCCCAAATCAACAGAATATACATTTTTTTCAGCACCACACCACACCTATTCCAAAATTGACCACATAGTTGGAAGTAAAGCTCTCCTCAGCAAATGTAAAAGAACTGAAATTATAACAAACTATCTCTCAGACCACAGTGCAATCAAACTAGAACTCAGGATTAAGAATCTCACTCAAAGCCGCTCAACTACATGGAAACTGAACAACCTGCTCCTGAATGACTACTGGGTACATAACGAAATGAAGGCAGAAATAAAGATGTTCTTTGAAACCAACGAGAACAAAGACACAACATACCAGAATCTCTGGGACGCATTCAAAGCAGTGTGTAGAGGGAAATTTATAGCACTAAATGCCCACAAGAGAAAGCAGGAAAGATCCAAAATTGACACCCTAACATCACAATTAAAAGAACTAGAAAAGCAAGAGCAAACACATTCAAAAGCTAGCAGAAGGCAAGAAATAACTAAAATGAGAGCAGAACTGAAGGAAATAGAGACACAAAAAAACCTTCAAAAAATCAATGAATCCAGGAGCTGGTTTTTTGAAAGGATCAACAAAATTGATAGACCGCTAGCAAGACTAATAAAGAAAAAAAGAGAGAAGAATCAAATAGACACAATAAAAAATGATAAAGGGGATATCACCACTGATCCCACAGAAATACAAACTACCCTCAGAGAATACTACAAACACCTCTACGCAAATAAACTAGAAAATCTAGAAGAAATGGATACATTCCTCGACACATACACTCTCCCAAGACTAAACCAGGAAGAAGTTGAATCTCTGAATAGACCAATAACAGGAGCTGAAATTGGGGCAATAATCAATAGTTTGCCAACCAAAAAGAGTCCAGGACCAGATGGATTCACAGCCTAATTCTACCAGAGGTACAAGGAGGAACTGGTACCATTCCTTCTGAAACTATTCCAATCAATAGAAAAAGAGGGAATCCTCCCTAACTCATTTTATGAGGCCAGCATCATTCTGATACCAAAGCCGGGCAGAGACACAACCAAAACAGAGAATTTTAGACCAATATCCTTGATGAACATTGATGCAAAAATCCTCAATAAAATACTGGCAAACCGAATCCAGCAGCACATCAAAAAGCTTATCCACCATGATCAAGTGGGCTTCATCCCTGGGATGCAAGGCTGGTTCAATATACGCAAATCAATAAATGTAATCCAGCATATAAACAGAGCCAAAGACAAAAACCACATGATTATCTCAATAGATGCAGAAAAAGCCTTTGACAAAATTCAACAACCCTTCATGCTAAAAACTCTCAATAAATTAGGTATTGATGGGACGTATTTCAAAATAATAAGAGCTATCTACGACAAACCCACAGCCAATATCATACTGAATGGGCAAAAACTGGAAGCATTCCCTTTGAAAACTGGCACAAGACAGGGATGCCCTCTCTCACCGCTCCTATTCAACATAGTGTTGGAAGTTCTGGCCAGGGCAATCAGGCAGGAGAAGGAAATAAAGGGTATTCAATTAGGAAAAGAGGAAGTCAAATTGTCCCTGTTTGCAGACGACATGATTGTTTATCTAGAAAACCCCATCGTCTCAGCCCAAAATCTCCTTAAGCTGATAAGCAACTTCAGCAAAGTCTCAGGATACAAAATCAATGTACAAAAATCACAAGCATTCTTATACACCAACAACAGACAAACAGAGAGCCAAATCATGACTGAACTCCCATTCACAATTGCTTCAAAGAGAATAAAATACCTAGGAATCCAACTTACAAGGGATGTGAAGCACCTCTTCAAGGAGAACTACAAACCACTGCTCAAGGAAATAAAAGAGGATACAAACAAATGGAAGAACATTCCATGCTCATGGGTAGGAAGAATCAATATCGTGAAAATGGCCATACTGCCCAAGGTAATTTACAGATTCAATGCCATCCCCATCAAGCTACCAATGACTTTCTTCACAGAATTGGAAAAAACTACTTTAAAGTTCATATGGAACCAAAAAAGAGCCCGCATCGCCAAGTCAATCCTAAGCCAAAAGAACAAAGCTGGAGGCATCACACTACCTGACTTCAAACTATACTACAAGGCTACAGTAACCAAAACAGCATGGTACTGGTACCAAAACAGAGATATAGATCAATGGAACAGAACAGAGCCCTCAGAAATAACGCCGCATACCTACAACTATCTGATCTTTGACAAACCTGAGAAAAACAAGCAATGGGGAAAGGATTCCCTATTTAATAAATGGTGCTGGGAAAATTGGCTAGCCATATGTAGAAAGCTGAAACTGGATCCCTTCCTTACACCTTATACAAAAATCAATTCAAGATGGATTAAAGATTTAAACGTTAGACCTAAAACCATAAAAACCCTAGAAGAGAACCTAGGCATTACCATTCAGGACATAGGCATGGGCAAGGACTTCATGTCCAAAACACCAAAAGCAATGGCAACAAAAGCCAAAATTGACAAATGGGATCTAATTAAACTAAAGAGCTTCTGCACAGCAAAAGAAACTACCATCAGAGTGAACAGGCAACCTACAAAATGGGAGAAAATTTTTGCAACCTACTCATCTGACAAAGGGCTAATATCCAGAATCTACGATGAACTCAAACAAATTTACAAGAAAAAAACAAACAACCCCATCAAAAAGTGGGCGAAGGACATGAACAGACACTTCTCAAAAGAAGACATTCATGCAGCCAAAAAACACATGAAAAAATGCTCATCATCACTGGCCATCAGAGAAATGCAAATCAAAACCACTATGAGATATCATCTCACACCAGTTAGAATGGCAATCATTAAAAAGTCAGGAAACAACAGGTGCTGGAGAGGATGTGGAGAAATAGGAACACTTTTACACTGTTGGTGGGACTGTTAACGAGTTCAACCATTGTGGAAGTCAGTGTGGCGATTCCTCAGGGATCTAGAACTAGAAATACCATTTGACCCAGCCATCTCATTACTGGGTATATACCCAAATGAGTATAAATCATGCTGCTATAAAGACACATGCACACGTATGTTTATTGCGGCATTATTCACAATAGCAAAGACTTGGAACCAACCCAAATGTCCAACAATGATAGACTGGATTAAGAAAATGTGGCACATATACACCATGGAATACTATGCAGCCATAGAAAATGATGAGTTCATGTCCTTTGTAGGGACATGGATGAAATTGGAAATCATCATTCTCAGTAAACTATCACAAGAACAAAAAATCAAACACCGCATATTCTCACTCATAGGTGGGAATTGAACAATGAGATCACATGGACACATGAAGGGGAATATCACACTCTGGGGACTGTGGTGGGGTGGGGGGAGCGGGGAGGGATAGCATTGGGAGATATACCTAAGGCTAGATGACGAGTTAGTGGGTGCAGCGCACCAGCATGGCACATGTATACATATGTAACTAACCTGCACAATGTGCACATGTACCCTAAAACTTAAAGTATAATAAAAAAAAAAAAGATAAATTATATGATTGTATTATCGTCCAGCTCACTAAATACATACAAACTCAGTTTCACATCTTGGGAAAAAACTTTTTTAAATAATCTTTTGAGTAGCAAATAGTAAATTATCATTAATGTACCTTTCAATCATTTGAATTAAGATTTATTGAACTAGAATTTAATTGACATATAGTATATTTTGGCCCTAAAAAGGGAAACTGAACTCAAGTGCTGAATCACTCCATGTCCTAGATCAACAGCTAACGTAACAGTACAGAAAAACACTTACATACTTAAAAAGACAAAAAGAAGAAGAGGGTAAAAGCAAATGAAAACATTTAAATGTAAATACAAATATTTATCAGACTGAAAGATCATGAAAGTAAATCAGCAAGATGAAGGAAGTCACGACATAAAATACATGTAGATGGGGATTATACAAGAAATTCAGGCCTCTAGAAGCCTGGAAAGGCTCAAAACTCAACAGGCCTGGGAAAGGTGAGGTTGGAGATGTTCCATAATGACTAAGTAGTCAAAAGACACAATATATTTTAAAAGTATTTTATTCTGATTATCATGTTGGTCTTGGCCTGGTATATTGTTTGAAGCTAGTTTGTCATGGTCAAAATTGAAATATTTCCTTTTTCTTCTGGTGGGGTTTTAAAATATTTTGAAAGGCCAGCTGTTTCCATATTAATAAAATAATTACACATGGCAAATTATATCAGTAATGATGTCCACTGAACAAGCCCAACATGCCATTTAGAATAAAGTAACTTTCAGATTGCTTATTTCTGGAGTAGAGAAAAGTTAATTGCTAGGAATCTTTCTATTTTAAACCAATTTGCAAATTATGGAAAACTTAAAATAAATGCAATTGATGGTTCCTTTAAAGAGCAAGATAATTTTCTAGAAATTAGTTTTCTTATGTTAAAATCTTGACACCTGTAAGTTACAACATATACAATGGCTTAAATAAATGTAATGTATGCCATGTTGCTCAGAAATGTTAAAACACATTGTCAAAATATACTTTATTATTTTCATAACTATTAAGTAAATTGAATCTGATGCAAATAAAATGTTATGGGAATTTTTGCTGTGAGAATTTTTCTTGATTTATTTTTTAATTTAAGCATCTTTTTGTTTTCTTTTATTCTATTATCTAAAAGAGTTTAATAAATACATATTTCAGCAGGCATACCCAGTAGAAAATCATATTTTTCATGCATAATAACATTAGCTATCCTAAAATATTTAGAGTAATTTTTACCATCTTAATAAAAATAATTCTCAAAAATCCCAGCCAATCTCTGCATGATATATAGTGGTAAGTAAAATGGACCTTTTTTTTAAGCTTGAATATATCTAGAAAGTAAAATATTCTGTTCCACAGTCAGTCTCTTTAAACTTAATCCCAATTTTATTTAAAATGCATTTAGAATTTCAGACGTCTGCTATATTATATCTGGAGAGTCATCAGTGTATTCTTCACATAGGAAAATCGTGCCTTTTTTTCTCACATTCAGTTGTCTCAAGATACAACTGCAAAGTAAACAGTTTCAGATATTGCGTGTTAACTTTTCCAAACTATCCTCCTCACCCGTGTTGTACTAATTGGGTTGTTTCCATCCATTTTAAGAGACACCAAGAAGAGGGCTATGTATCTACACCCAATATTTCAAGAAAATGAAAGATGGTGCTTTTATATCATTCACTTTTCCAAGATTTTTAAAAAATACCACTTGAAAGTCACTCTAGTGGGCACTAGAAGTGATCCACAGTTACATGTGATACAATGTCATACTATTGACTGTAAGTATGATTTAAATTAACCTAATGAATATTTAATTTCACCCACAACCTCTCTCACTTTCTTATATTTTAAAAAGCAAAGTGACATATTCAAAGAATGGAATAAATATGTTTATATTAATAAATAAATTTTAAGGTTTTTACAATGTTATTTCTAATGATTTCTTCCTGTTCTTGGAAAGTATACAATCAATTTATGGTGGAATTGAAAATAAAATGTTTTTGAATAAAATTATTGTGAAGAAGATAACTTCAGTTTCCAATTAGTGAAATAAGCCATTTTTGGTTAATAAAGCAAGTTCCATGAATTTCAGTTTTTGTATTTGTACTAAAAATTTAAAAGCATAAAAACCCAAGAGTGAATCTTGGAATAAAAATATATTAGCAATGGTTGCAGAGAACTTGATCCCATACCAATTGGAAGCAGGAGCCCAGTTTTAAAAGTCACATGAATTTGAATGAATAATGAGTAGTTGCTGACAGATCTCATATTCCCTTGCCAAAGTTGCAGCTGAGAAATGCTTTCAATGTGTTTCAAAAGCAGTTCAACTATCTTTTGTTTTGGTGTAGGTTAAATATTTTTTCTCTTTTGTTATCTTTATCCATTTCTATTTTTCCTGTTTCCCTTGTGTTTTCAGAAAATGTTAATAATATTTTCCTAACTTACTGCATCTAGACTGTATCATTGAAGGAATCTTTTTAGCTTACATTGTGAAATCTACAGATTAAAGGTTGAAATAAAATCATTTGTTAATCAAAGTATGTAACAACACCATATGAGGCTTTATGAATAATACTAATAACAAACTTGCTTCTATTAAACTATGTAAAATAAGATTATATATAACATATAATTTATAAAATAGTAATAGTACTTTTTTCATATTATGAATAAAATGCCAATAAAACGTTTTCACTGGACAAATAACTTATGCTGAATTTCAAGACACCAAAAAGAAAAATGAATATATATTCATGAATATTTGCATAACTACATAAATTGGTGATTGTAGCAATCAGATTCCTGGCAAAAAAAAAAGAGCAACAGAGCTTAAATGATAATATAAGACATTTTTTCTTCATTAGAGGTATTTATATGCTTGATCAGATTACTAAAAATCAGATTTATATAAGTGATATAGAAATATAGGCAGGACTAAGTGGGCTAACAAAGGGTTTTGAGATATTCATTGATAGTTATAACAGATAGCCATTAGTTTACCTTAGGCCTGACAAAGCAATAAATGTATAAGGTAACCAGAATTTGGAAGGACCTGTTGCTCTGGGTCTTCTGGCTATAGTTGGAGGAACATCATTACTATGAATACAGTGGCATGGTGGGGTAATGGATGCATGGGAAATTAATACCCTGTGCTCCCTGATTCTCATTCTTCATTCTCCTCTCAGTGTCTCCCATTGACCAATCCAATTAGAAACTATACACAGGTATCTGGGTAATTCCGTCTATAGAAGTCAATCAACTAGAGCATTGGGTATTGATCAAAATGGTCAAGGGTAGAGTAAAGAACTAGGTAAATAGAGATTATTTAACACAATATTGATTTTCAAAATTCACATAGAGAAGACTGGTTTCTTTTGAAAGATACCAAGTAAGTTTAGACTTTCTCTCAATAACTTTCATATTATCATATATTTTGGAGGATTGAAAATTAGCTAACAATCTCAGAAATTTGTCTTAATGTGTCCATCAAGAAAGTAAATCTGTTAGAGTTAATTCTCATAAAAAATTATTTTACATCAAAATATTGTGACAGAATCAGGATCTCCAAAGTTATTCACAGACGTAAGAAGCAGGCTGAATTTGAAAGGTGAAATGTAACAGATATAAATTCTGTTGGCTAGATTGAAAAACCTACTGGTTCAAAGCACAGTATGATGCTCAGCAGAAGTAAAGGTAAAACATTCTTAGGAAGTTCTGCCTGTGGTCAGTCAGCAACTCGGGAATTAACAGAAGTCGTGACTGTTTGATATGGAAATCAAATCTAGAGTTAGAGGTGATGCCTTAGGATATGGTGCTCTTCTCTATTTTGGATTCATAATGATATACTGAGTATCCGCTGTCAAGATAATTTAGTTATTGGTAGTTTTACATGATTAATTCTTCCAAGTGTTAGTTTCATAAATCTTAAACACGATGAAATAAACTTTAAAGTAATAAATCACCTCATTCCAGAAGGATCTAGTGAACGAATACCATAAATCATTCACTATACCACAGAAAATAAATATGAAGATAAATATTTACAGCCAATGCCTTTAGGTAAAAAGTGCAAAACTAATGACTAACACATGCTGAGAATCTACTTTCTATCAGAAATCTCTTTAGCATTTTCGCATATTACATAATTATTATAGCTAATCTACTAAGTACATACTGCATCCCCATATCACAGATGAGGAAACTGGCACAGAGGGAAAGTAACTTGATCAAGGTCACAGAGCTAATGGCAAAGCCAGAATTTGAATGAGGCCATCTGGTTTCGGAGCCTTTGTTTTAGCTATTATTTTACACATTTTCTTCCTCAGAGATACTTATATGCTTGATGAGATTGCTAAAAATCAGACTTTTTTTTGGTTTGTCGGACCAGACATACTTCCCAGAAGATTAGAAATTGGACGTGCTTTTGAAACATGAATTAGGTTCTCCTTAGTATCATCCTGACCCTTCCATAATTCCTCCCCTCAGAATGTTAGTGAGACTTCAGTCCTCCAGCTGATCCAAAGTCAGGTCATGAACTATGAATTCGAAATCAACAATCTCAGATCTGTGTATCCAGTCCAGAGTTAGCTGCTGAGCTCTCATTTAGGAGGCTCAAAACTTCACATTTTGATTCGCAAAAGTTCCTCATTTTTAATATGTTTAGAACCGAAATATTGCAAACATTCCCTTCAGAATCAGTGGGGCCTACAAATAATGGTTGCTTTTTCTTTGTGGTAGGAGAGTCAAAGTAGAAAGTATAGCATCGGGTTTTTTACTTTGGCTTGACACTGCAAAAATGTCACCAATTTGTTAGCAGACTTATTAATTTTCTTGGGGTATATCTCCATTATGTGTCATGTACTTGCCTAACCAATACACCTAAAGTGGATCATATATTTTGTTTATTAGGACACTTAAGCAAGATGTCACTAATCTGTGATAAAAAACAGATCTGTGATATCCTGGAAAGACAATCAATATCTCTCCTTGCTTAAAAAATAGTAATATAAACTTAAGTCACAGAGCAAAGGAGTACTGTGACCTGTCTTCATGTATATGTACACGCATACATAAATTTGTGATTGTAGCATTTGCTTCCTGTGTTCTCTGTTTATTGATATATAGGAAGCCCATTTGTCAGATTAAGTTGCACATCAAGTACGAGAAATTGCATTAATTTGCCTCAGTAAAGAGATATTCTAAAGCAGAAATCCTCTAAAGCAATACTATTGCAAGGCTTCAGATCACTTCAGTTGAGAAATGATGGCCCTTAGATTGTCATTTTCTTCCCTTCAGCTATCCATTGCTTTCACACTTTCCAATGTTTTCCATGCCCTTGAGACATATGTGCTGTGTAGAACTGGTTGACATTGATTCCATAAGACTGACCTTTAATGAAAACTTTATTTCAGGTGACATTTATTAATTGCTGGAAAAATACATAGCAAGGGCTGCTGGATTTCCATGTTCTCCTCTTGCCCCAGTACTGATTTATCTCATATAATTCTGAATAGGTCACAATTCTTACTTGAATATGATTATAACTCATTAATTTAAACAGAAATGAAATTTATTGGCAGAGAACTCAATTGCTCCAAACATGGAAAAGGTTGCTGAAAATCAAGCTCAGTAAGAATTAAATAAAAATCAAGAGAGCCACAGAACTTCCATAATTATCCACCTCAGAGCACTGCTGCTATCTGACAGGACGCTCACGGCCTTGTCCACTGTAGCCACTATGTCTGGACTGCTGCCACTGTCCTGCTGGATTCCATTTCACTGGCACACTTGGTACTGTGTTATTAGACACTCCACTCTGTCGATTCTGCTATCAAAAATCTCTAAATGTCATTGCGCTTTTGCTTCATTTATTCAAGATTCAAAGTCGTTAGTGGTGGGAGAGAGGGAAGGCACATGGCTGTTGAGCTCAGTAAACATGTTGCCAAAAGGAAGGGATTATCCAGCCTTCTTCAGCTTCCATAGCAGATGGCTTGGTTGGCTTCTGCCTATCTTGAGATTTCTCCCAAATCAAAAGGGTAGCCAAAACAGGAAAAATGTTCAATGAACGTATTAAACAAAATGGTAAAAATAAATGAGGTAAAAAATAGAAGAAAAAAAGAAAATTAGAGATAGCTCAAATCTTTAGATCAACTAGTGTCAATATTTTAGTGTTCTTTATGAATTTATTTTAATTTTAATGTGACAGTTACTCAACTTTGCTCTCTTTAAAGGCATGTTGTACACACATTTCACAAGCTTTAAGTAAAAGTTATATTTTTATTAAATTTGATTAATAATTTTTTTATTTAATAGGTGGCCTTAATAACCAAATAGAAGGAAACCTATATCCCTGCCTATAGAATCTAAGGAGGTCTTTGTGCAACCAACAGTATACATATAATAAAAGACAAAGTAAAAATAAAGTAATAATAGTAGATAATTAGAGTCCTTACTTCATGCCTGGTAAGAGCAGAATGTCACATGCATTGTGCTGGTGATTATCTCTAGGACTACGCAAGTTGTGTCATTGCAATTTAGCCAATCTAAGTACATAAACTCACACAAGCTTACATAGTTAGAAACTGGTAGATAAGAACCAATCCTAGTCTTTCAGAAATAAGGCATTGCCCTCCTATAGCTATGTATGTGGGTATTTGATGACAACATTGTCTAAACAATTAATTCCCCATGGTTAGTGTGAAATCTCATGAGAAATAAGAAAATTAATGTTATCACTAGTGCTGTATTCATATTCCTTATTTTTAGGGAGACTCAAATGAATGTGAAAATAAAACTAAATACAATGGTACACTGCCTTTAAATATATTGAATACGAACGTTTACTTTTAAAGAAATATAATAATACTTATTCTTTTCTATGTTATTATTTTTATGTCTAACAGCAAAGATAAGTTAATGAAAAAGTATAAATACAGATAAATATTTTAAATATTGGAACTGTCATGATAAGATTTGTAAATTTAACTGAAAAAAAGCTTATCAACTTGGCCTTTACTTTCTCTGATTTTGCTTCATATAATAGACTTCACCTGAAACAGAGGTACAATTGTGCACAACATGAAAAATTGAGGTGCATATTAGGTGTTTAGAGTGTTTTTTCCATACACAGAAGGTCAGTAAAAGGGAGAATTAGCACCTAAATATTTTTATAGTGTAATTGTTAAAAATGTTCGATAAAAATGCAAATCAAACTTGTTTTTCGTAAATATGTAAATCACAATATTAGTGCAACCATCACATTAGCCTAACATATTTTTTTAATTTTTAATTTTTATGGGCACACAGTAGGTGTATGTATTTATAGTTCACATGAAATTTTTTGACACAAGAATGAAATGCATAATAATCACATCAGGATAAATGTGGTATACATCACCTCAAGCATTTATCCTTTGTGTTAAGAACAAACCAATAGCAGAAAGAATTTTGATTCAACATGAACATAATAATTTAGAAAATGACCAAAATCAACCAGAAACTCAAAAAACTTTAAGCTAAAACATTCATCTGGTTTTTTAAAAATGGCTTATAATTATGCAGAATTCACTGAGTACTTTTTATTCATTTAGTAAAGAAAACATTTTTGAGTGCTTATTTTCTGTGTGAAACTAATTTGGATGCTGGAGATAATGTTATAACATTCAAAGACAGTCCCTGACTTTAGAGAGCTTACATCCTCTAGATGAAGAAATAAAACTACCAAGTAAGCAGACACAAATGAGTTAATTTCATATTGTGAGAAATACAAGGACATAAAACTGAGTGTGGGGAAGAGGATGACAAGGGAATATACGATGAGAAGCAGCCAGTCATGAGGAAATTTAGAGTCAATGCATTCCATGATGGGCAAATGTCAATGTATTTATATATGGACTCTCTATGTATTTTCCAAATATCTACTACAATAATGAATGGTGCATATGGTAATTGCTCTTAAATTAAAAGAGAAAAAAATTTATATACATAATATGTATTTTTTTCTTCTTCACCTCATCCTCTTCCTTGGATTATACATCCAAATGCTTAATCAATCAACCACAAACTCAATCAACTCCCTCTCTGTATACATATATGTATGTATACATGTGGTGGATACCACAATTAACCATTATATGATTATTATGTGTCACATGTCTGTATCAAAATATTTCATGTATCCCATTAATATATACACCTACTATGTACCTGCAAAAATTAAAAATTAAAATAATTATGTTATGCTAATGTGAGGATTGTGCTAATATTATGATATATATGCATATATATACACATCTACACACATACATGTATATGTACATATGCCTATGCATGCATGTATAGACATGTGTACATGTACATTTATAAACGTAGATACATATATGTATTTGGATTTATTTTCACAAACACACGAGCTCTGGATATACACAATGTTCTCTAGTAACAAGATGTTCCATGAAGTAGTAACTCTGTGGAATACATTGTCTAGATCAATGCCTGGCATAAGCCTCAGTAACCAGATGAAGTCACAGGCCTTTTATAAAAAGCTCTCTCTTAATTATGGCAAATGGGATGTTTACTTCTACTAAAACCTCTCTTGAACCCCCCTTCTTATGTAACATCTCTGTGAAAGATAACATTCAGTTTCAGGACATAGAAAAAGAAAACGTGTCTGTCTTCTCAACACACTCTGCTAGAAAATGCACATGGCTTTTTATTCAGAAAGGTTACTCCACTCAGAAGTTTCTCATCCTGTAGAAAATAATATATTGTGTTCAAATCCTTCATTTATAAATATGTGCACTCTTTTTACTTGTTTAATATTTTACTGTAGACACATGATAGAAATATAAAAGCTAATTATACAAAATGAAGAACTTGATCCATTTTAAGCCACAGGTAATTATAAAAAGAAAAACAAAGATTTTAAAGGTCAGGGAAACAGCCATCTGCTTAACAACCTGACCATCTGTGAAAGATAATTCAAGGCCAGTTCAAAACTCAGAGGGCCCTAAGTGTCACCCAGAAAGATGCCTTATATGTTATTCTGTACCTAAACTCAAGGTATAAGGCACAGATTGTATGAGTATTATTATCACCCATTTTTATTTATAAAGCAATTTAGATTTGCCTTGTTAATTACAGACGGTGCCCACTTTTTCATAATTAAAGTACTATGAAGAGACATTAAAGTTAAATGAAAAAATCATAATAATATGCACATTTATTATAATTAAAAATAATGCTCTATGTTTGATATTTTTGATAAAACTAGATATTTACAAAAGTATACGTTTCATTTATATCAACTATTATCTTTTTTAATTTAAAAATATATTAGTATAAAATATTTAAAAAATGCATACATAAGTAAAATTGAGTTTGTCTGCCAGCCATATAATAAAATATACGTCTCCTATTCATTCTCTCTCAGTACAATTCTTCAGACACAATAAATGTATAAACTTCAAAATACAATATAAATATAAATGTGCATGTGTTTGTGTCTGTTTGTGTGGCTGGTATTTTGAGTGGCTAAATTTAAAATTACACAGTATTTTGAAACATCATGGAGATTTCCTAATAAAATATTAGGCACATTCTTCCATTGTACATCTTTGTTATTATACCTTTTACTGATGTTTAATTAAAAAATACTTTTCCTTCAGGTTAACTTATTCTCAGCATTTGTAACTTTTTCTTTTATCTTCTGCAAGTATGCTTTTCTTCCATTGTTTAGCCTAGTTATCTTTTTAAAATTTTATAGAATATGTATTATTCAGTTGAGGGTGAATTATTCTCATAACAAATCAAATTAATGATTATTTTATAATTGCTGTTAGTTCCTTGGTCAGTCTTAGATTTCAAACAATAAAAGTGCACCATCTGAAAGTGTCCTTCAGTAACAAATATTAAGCTCCATGTCTGCACAGAATGGAGTTCTAGCCATTGAGGATACAGAAGTGAACAAGAGATGGGTTTCTCCTTCTCATGGAACTAGCATCTTAAAGGGATAACTTAAGAAAGCAATGAGGCTGGGGGCAGTATCTCACGCCTGTAATCCCAACACTTTTTGGGAGGCCAAGGTGGGCAGATCACCTGAGGTCAGGAGTTCGAGTCCAGCCTGGCCAACAAGGTGAAACCACGTTTTTACTAAAAATACAAAAATTAGCCAGGTGTCGTGGTGGAGGCCTGTAATCCCAGCTACACGGGAGGCTGAGGCATGAGAATTGCTTGAACTCGGGAGGCAGAGGTTGCAGTGAGCCGAGATCATGCCACTATACTCCAGCCTGGGTGACAGAAGGAGACTGTCTTAAAAAAAAAAAAAAAAAGCAATAAATAAATGTTCTGTGGTTAAATAGGAAAAATCAGCACTTTAAAATTATTGTAATCCAAAATTAAATCTTGGATTATAGGTATCTATTTTCTGATCTCTTCTATTGTTTTCTCAATTAAGCATAGGCACATGTATCAGTAGTTTCTTCAAAACCAATTTTGTTATGTCTTCTTTAAGAAATCTTTCAAGACTTCAAGGTATAAAAAATTTCAATTATATTTTCTAATCAGCGTCTTCAAGGTGGTTTATTTGTTGTTGTTATCATTGTTGGAGTTTTTAACTCTAAGATATTAGCCCCTGTGTAGTTGGTCTTTTTACATACATACATACATACATACATACATACATAGCCCATTTTTGAGTAGAGTCCATCTTTTTAATGTCATTTTTTTCCAGCTCCATTTCTTTCAACTGCCCCTTCTTTCATAACTGACCTGAGAAGCAACCTCTGTCATCTACCAAAATTACCTGTTTATGGATTCTCTATTCTACTCCATCGATTAATCCTGAGTCAATATCACAGTATCAACATTAACATTGCTTCATAGTAAGTCCCAGTATCATGAACAGCAAGTTGCCCCTCTTAATCCTTTCGAAAAATGACCTGACTATAGTCAATACTTTAAATATTTGAGAATTTTTTAAATTCTCAATTATTTTAATTTGAGAATTTAATTTTAAATTGAGAATTTAAAATTCTCAAAAATTTTAAATTAAGATCCATAAATTAAGATCCAAAACCTACTGCATTGATTATATTTAAATTTGGGGCCAATTCTCAGCTTCTTATTATTTATTCTTACTATTCACGACATCGGATATGTCTGTCTTTAGTTGCATCTGTTATAATAAATTGCAATAAAGCTTTATTTTTTTCTGGAAGAAGTCTCAAATCTGTTTTACAGCTTAACAAGTGAAATGGGATAACAAGAAAAATGTAGCTTTGAAGTTGTAATTTTATTATGTGTTGATTAAACTTTGGTTATGCTGAATTTTTGAAACTAAATGTTCATATGGCAGATGGATATCCTTAAGTAGGCAACTTAAATGCACTATTTTATTTTCACTAGGTTTTTTTTAATCGTAAGCATAAACAGGTTTATCCATTTTCTCTGACACCTACTTCTATGCATACCAGAAAATCTAGAAATATTGATTTATTACTAACTCATCAATTTATCTGTAGATTTATTTGATAATTCATTTATTAAGTAGTAATTTACTATGAAAATACTATGTATTTACAAAAATTAGCCAGGCGTGATGGCATGCGCCTGTAGCCCAAGCTACTGGGGAGGCTGAGGCTGAAGAATCACTTGAACCTGGGAGGCAGAGGTTGCAGTGAGCCGAGATTGCACTGTTGCACTCCAGCCTGGATGACAGAGTGAGACTCTGTCTCAAAAAAAAAGGTACTATTATTTAATATTATCATAAACATTTATGTAATAAATAATAATGGCAAGACCAGATTGTAATACTGAAATTTGTTTTAATTTTCTTGCTCTTAAAGTATATTCTGATTATACTAATTATTTAATGTTTTTTTTAAAAAGTAACTCTATGTATAAGCTCATTTAAATGAGTAAAAGTCAAATTTGATGGTAAAATATTTCACCTCTATTCCATGAAGAATATAGTGTGTGTGTGTGTGTGTGTGTGTGTGTGGGTGGGTGTGTGATTTAAATATACAAATATATAAAAGGAGAAAACGAAGAACAAAGCAGCTTTCTTAATGAAAAGGTATTAAGAAAATAAAAGTCAATTTCCAGTTGACTGTTTGGAATTAAGGAGTTTTTTTTGGGAGAAGGTTATTTTAAGAAAAAATAAAAATCAGATGTATTTGGGAATGCATAGGGTGCATTTATTTATTTTTACACTACTATAAAAGCTTTATGATTTTGATGAACAAATATAGAAGCATTTTATAAATGACAGTCTCAAGGCTCTTAGAAAAAAAAAAAAAGCAAGCACATATATCAGCTGACAAAGCATGTTTATGACCTAGAAATGACACTGTCACCAGTGATTAAGACCTACAAGTAAGACCAGTTCGTGCCTGTAATTTGAAATTGCTTAGCATCAGATACCTTTTATGTGTGTAAAATAGCCAGAAAAGTAATTGGTTCTACTTATAGCAAAAGCAAGTTCAGCATTTTGAGTATTTTTTTCTTTCCCTAACTGATGTACATTTTATCTCCACTCAGCTGAGGCAAATGAAAAAAAAAAAAGAAAAAAAAAGAGGTTTGACTCAGCATTTGTACTCAGATTCATTAGTGAACTGAAGAAGGGAAAATCTAAACCCTTTTCCCCTACTCCCTATTTAAAAATTCAAATGATATCAAACAGAAATATTCCCAAAAGTATGTTGAAGTAAACAGAAAAAGAAAGTACTTTTTATTAAGGTAAATTCTTCCTATCATTAATGCAGTGGTTTATAAGGAGATATTCGACTTCTCTTAGGATTTAAGTAATGTTTGGGGAAATTTTTAATCACCTAGGGAGCATTTTAGAAAATACTATTCCGAAGACATGCACCCAGAGATGATGTTTTAATTGATCTCTTAAGAAGACTTAGAAATAGCATTGCATTTCTAAAAGCTGCCAGTGCCTTTCTCATGTGTACTAAGGATGAAAACCACTGTTCTAATATATTCCCCACTGCTCTCACTCAACTTTGGAAGTCATTAATTTCTTTAGACCACTAGGGTATTAGAGTCAGCTATAGATTATCTAAACCTACACGCCTAATCTCTGATGATGAATAGGTAAAAAGGTATTTGTCTTTGGATTTTGAATATGAGATCCATATTCAAACACAGACCTGCTAAGGGGCAACAGTGTAAAAGCAATTATATGATCTATCTGACTTGCACTCCACAGTTAGCCCTTCTGTCAACAGTTTATGAAACACATGTTGATGACAAAGAGGGGGAAGCCATAAGTCATTTATAAAACTATTATCAGGGTAAAACCTCCTAAGCATCCTTTCCACCTGTTGACTTCCACTTTCCTTCTCATTCTGGAAAATTAAAGACTGTGGGACAAAAATCGTAACTCTACCTTGACGCAGAGATGTAGTTGCTGCCTTTGTTTTCTCTATCTTATTCAAACACAGTTGGCTACAGATGAAGTGTTTGAATGACTTCAACTTCTGAGGATTGCAAAAGTAGAAATAGTATCCACAGCCTATGCTAATAAATGACTTTAAAAATATGATGGGAGAGAAGACAAATTTTTATTTTAAAAATATGATAAAAGCTTAGAAAACAGAGTAGAATATCTTCCTCTAAACATATGCAAATAATTATAATAGCTCACATTTCTTGAATGTTTTTGTGCTGGTACTTGTGATGGACATTTATTGCTTGCCTTCCCAGAACCCATCATTAATATACAAATATAGTACAGATAATACACATACACATATTTACGGAGCTTTCTCCTTTCTCTCCTACCTTGTTGTTTCATTAGGGACTAATTGTCTTGATACTACAATGCTCTGGCCACAAGGGGAGGATCAGATGCAAGCCAGTATACTCAAAATTCTTTTCTGTGGATTAAAAGCAAACAGAGGTGCATATTAGCAGCCCATCACTTTATTCCAGACATTGCTAATTCCTAGGTATGTTCTTGCCTGTTTTGCAAGTGTCTTTACCAGATATAAAATTTCCACTATTGGCTTACGCCAATTGGAGCTGTGATTCTATTTGCAACACAATTTTTTTCAATGCTGTACTATAAATGCATCGTGACATTTAATACTGTATTTGGAAGTATGATGTAGAGAATTTAAAAAAAAAAGGATCATGGCATTATAACTTACTAGTTGTAAGAATTTTAGGCAAGGTAATTCATTACTTTTAAGCCTATATATCTTCATGTCTAAAATAGAGAATATGTAACAACTTTCCTCATCATGTTATTGTATTAGATGGAATTCTGTGCATAATGCAGGCAGTCAGGTACATAAAAACTAATACAAACATTAATATTATTGTTCACAGATATTTTAGTTCAGTAATGTATTTTCAGTTTTACATATAAATAAACAACCTCAGAAAGGTTAAAATAACTTGTCTAATTTTGTAATAATATATAAGTGATTAGAAATTGAAACTTTACTTGCATAGCACAAACTCAAAATCTGCACTGTTTTTTTATAATTTGAAATAAAGCATGAATGCAAACACACAGACATCAAAACATAAAGTAACAAGTCATAAATAGAGTTATTTACATAAATAAGTGTATATTAACACTTCCTGAATGCAGAGTGAATACACTCACGTAATCTCTGCCCATATAAAAAATGAAATATTTGTAGCATCCCAAAATAGCCCTCATATGGGCCCTGTCAAAAAATTCTCCATTCTGGTGACCACCATGTTTAAATGTGCCTGTTTCTTATTTTTGTATGAATGAAATTAAATAATATTTACTGTGGTACATCAGGGTCTTTAATAAGAGCTTTCCATGCGAAATGTAGGATTAGTGTGGTCATCTAAATTGCTATTTGGTGTTACATTGTATGGGCATTGTGTATCTATTCCAAAAATCTATCTATCCATTCTATTTGTGAGAATAACTTTTTTTTTCCATTTTGAGGATATTGCAAATAGTGCTTTTATGAATATCCCTATACATATCTGTTGGCGTGTGTTTGTATGCATTGCTATCATATGTATATCTGGAGTGGAATTTCTGACACATAGGTTGTGCATATGCTCATTGCAATGGAGTTGTTGCAATATTTACTTTCTCCTCCAATAATGCCTGTTGGTTACAATTGCCCTTTCTCCTCATCAGCACTTGGAATTGTCAGTCCTCTCCCCACACCCTCTCCCCACCTCCCCACCCTCATCTACCACATGAGCATGCTCTGGCGATTGAGGAGTGACATATCGCATTGAGTTTTATTTTAAAATCTGATATGTTTGCTAACATTTTCACTATTTTTGTTTTGTGAAGTGCGATTTTAAGTCTCTTAGGCATTTACCTTTATATTTTCAATCTTATATTTTTTTATTTTTAATCTTTTCCCATAATGTCTTCTTCTCCCCTTCCGTGGCTTATTTCTTGTTTCTTTTTGTTTGTTTGTTTTTTTCCTCTTAATAGTGCCATTTTATGATGTTTTAAATTTTAATATAATTCAAATTATCAGTCATTTTGGTGTCATATTTAGGAAACCTCTGCCAGTCTTATGATCATAAAATGAACATTATCTTTAAATATCTAAAATTTTTGGTTTTATATTTTGACCATGGTCTATTTGACTTATTGCTATTTGCTTGAATGTGTGGTGTGGGTTCAAGAATCACATTCTACCTATGGATATACAATTAACCCAGAAACATTTATTGATGAGACTATCCTTTCCCATTATTGTACAATGCCAATTTTTAATAAATCAAGAGACTATGTTAGTATAGGTCTCTTATTGAACTGTTTACACTGATATATTGATCTTTTTATTTATTCTTATGTCAATTACAGCCTCCTGATTACTGTTGATTTATAACAAATATTGATATATAGCAGTGTATATCATCCAGTATTGTTCTTACTTAAAGACCACCCTATGATATTATACTGTAACTTATGACCAATACTCCTCCACCAGTATGTGAACGTCTGGGTGAAGGTATTCAATAGATACTGATTGAATTGATATAATTTAATTACCAGAACAAAAGACCTTCCGTATCAGTAAATTTCTACCTGTGGCTTCCACCAATAAGTCATCAACCTCTGAAGCACTAGCTGAAACCAAAAAAAGCTACTATATTTGTTCTTTAAAAGGCAGTGTTAGCAAAATTAATTTTTCTTATCAACTGATATATCTGGAATTTAATTTTTGAAAAGTGAACAAAATATTTTTAATTACTGTAATTAGTTTACTATTCAGAATATGACTCAGGAATACCCAAATGGAAGAGTTGCATGAGGTAAGGTAAGGTGAAAGAATCACAGAGCTTACATGACCTCCCAAGGCATACCACCCTCTTAGCACCTTAATATGGTCACCAACTTGAGAAGCTGCAGAAAACTTTAATTTTGTCCTTCGGTTCCTCACTTAACCTGCCAGAATGTGGTATCTAAAATGAAAATTTCACAGAAGGAGAGACAATACCTAGTTCACTGCTATATCAACTATATGTACAGCAGAGTGGAACCTATAATAGATGTTCTATACATATTTGTTTCTAATGAATACATATATAATTGTATATATATTATCAATTAGCTATTTCAGTGTGTAGGAACTTGTCAAACAAAAATGCAAGCAAAAGCTTCTGATTTATTCTACATATGTACTGGTGTTACTTAATGATAAGCATCCCCAGGTTTTTTATTTGTTTGGTTTTGTCTTTGTATTTTCAAGATGGCCAACTGGGGCCATGGCATGCCAGTTCTCTTCAGAAAGAAGATAAAAATTACCTTTCACTGGAAAACATTGAACAGAAAATGGAGAGAAGAGAGCCAGGACCTGTAGGAGCACCCATAAGAAGAAGCTGGGATACCACAGAAAAATGAAACAGCCAGAGCCTTGCTGAGATTGATGCCAGAGGAACTTAGAGCCCAGTGGAAATGGTAGGTGGAAGTGCTTCTCTGCTCCCTTCAACCCTCTGACAATATGCCTCCTGCTAAATTTTTGGTGAGTCCCTTTGCCCTCATGAAACAGGGCAACACTATTGATGGTAATTAGAGGATTTCTGAGGAGCAGAGAACCAAATAGCTAATTTGCTCAGCCATGCCCATTCTTCCCTCAGACCCAAATTGACAGCAAGCAGCATACCAACTGTGCATTCATGGTGTCATTGTCCTGCCTGGGAATCCTCCACCCTTGAGCACCAGTGAACCTCCAGATCCGCAAACGTACCTCACAAAGGGCACTGACTTTGGCAGGCACAGGGGACCTGCAGTTCCCCAGAGAGCTGTGGGTCTCTTGGAGATCTAGCCCTTGGCACAAGCCACCTGTAAGGGAGGGAAAGTTCAGCCACCAAAGTCTCCCTTGGACAAAGGAAACACAGGTGTGTAGCCAATCATTGAAGTGGTCAGCACCAATACCTGGGAGTGAATGTAGCCGGGGGATCATCTCCCACCCCTCCATGTCCATTATACATTGTTTCAAGTGCAGCAGCAATTCTTCCCACTGGGGCCTGGCAACTGTGCATGGAAAGAAAACATGTCTCACACCCCTGTTCACCCCACAAAAGATAGCCTACACCTGCTCAGGCTTTCAAAATTGCAGAGCCCAACTCCCGTTCCCTACACAGACCAGCAGTGGCCTGGCAATGAGAGGACAGGCCACAGAGCTGCCTTCCTTGCACTAAAAGAAGATGCTCTGCTTGGAATCTCATTCCGGAGGTAGCCATCATAAAGGCGGATCTGCAGTCCGCAGCTGCATTGCACCTGGAAACCAAAGGACAACGCCTTTTAAACAGTAAGTCATTAGCCCCATGACAGGTGAATGTTAGGGAAGTGGATCACATTTCTGCCAGCTCAAAATGAGAAGCTGGTGCATTCCCCAGTGCTATCCCCAAGGCTTCAGAGCACCCAATCACAGTTTCTTCCTGCCACCTCCATCAGGGTGGATGTGACAACTCCACACCAGCCTACTAGCTGGCTCCTACTGTTAAGCATCGTCTACTAGAGGGAAGCCCGAACTGCACCATCAAAAAATTATGTGTGCCTGCAACAAACAGCATCTAAGAAAGCCACCTGATGAAACCTATCCCAGGCAAGGAACCCATATAGAGTCTTGGCCTCCTGCAAACACCCGAAAATTAAGCCAAATGCTCATACACAACATACATGATAGTTGTATGCTCAAGGAAAAAAAAAGAATTTAAAAAATAAGAAAAGCCCCATTCAAATGATAGCAAATTCAAAAATAAGACGTGACACTTCCCTCAGATGAGAATTAATCAGCATCTACGTAATGACTCTGGCGGTACAAAACCAGAGTGTTCTGACACTTCCAAAATATCGCAGTAGCTCCCTAGCAACCGGATTGAAATGTCTGAAATGATAGATGAAGAATTCAAAAGATGGACTGCAAGGAAACTCAATGAGATCCAATAGAATGTTGAAATTTAATACAAAGAAGCTGAAAAAATGATTCAGAATATGAAAGACATTATAGCTATATTAAGGAAGAACCAAACAGAACATCTGGAATTAAAAAATTCACCACAAGAATTTCAAATCACAGTTGTGAGACTTAGCAATACACTAGACAAACCAGAAGAAAGAATTTCAGAGCTTGAAGGCTAGTTTTCATGAATTAATCAATTCAAGATTTTAATAAAATGAACAAAGCCATCAAGAAATGTGGGATTAGGGAAAGTGATCAAACGTATGTCTTGGCATTCCTGAAACAGAAGAAGAAAAAGTAACCCACATAGAAAACATATTTGAGGGAATAATTAAGGAAGATTTCCTCAATCTTGCTAGAGATGTTGACATCTAAAACAATAAATTCAGAAAACTACTAGGAGATACTACAAAACATAACCATCCTCAAGGCACATAGTCATTAGACTATACAACATGAATGCAAAAGAAAAAAAAAATCTTAAAGGCAGTTAGAGAAAAGGACCAAATTACCTGTAATAGAAATCCCATAAGACTAATAGTGCACATCTTAGCAGACACTTTACAAGGCAGAAGAGATTAGAGGCCTATTTTTACCCTTCTCAAAGAAAAAAAAGAAACAGCCAAAAATTTTATATTTCGCCAAAGTAAGCTTCATAAACAATAGAGAAATAATGTACTTTCCAGAGAAACAAATACGAAGGAAATCTGTTACCACCAGGCAAACCCTACAAGAAATGCTAAAAGGAGTTGTAGACATAGAAACAAAAGAACAATACCTGCTACCATAAAAGAAAATGTAAGTGCAAAGCCCACAGACCCTATAAAGCAAATATACAATTGAGACTACAAAGCAACTAGCTAACAACACTATGACAGAAACAAAATCTCACATATTAATATTAACCTAGGACATAGCTTAAATTCTCCACTTAAAAGACATAGAGTAGTAAATTAAATAAAAAAAACAAGACCCAACCTTCTTTTGCCTTCAAGAGACACTTCTCACATATAAGGACACCCATACACTCAAAGTAAAAAGATGGAGAGATATATCATGCGAATGGAAAATGAAAAAGATCAAAGGTGGTCATTCTTGTATCAGATAAAATGTACTTTAAACCAACAACAGTAAAAGAAAATAAAGAAAAGCATAACACAAAGTGGTAAATTCAACAAGAAGATTTATCTATCCTAAATATATATGCAGTTGATATTGCTGCACTCAGATTTATAGAGCAATTACTGCTAAAATTTTCTCCCATTCTGTAGGTTGCCTGTTCACTCTGATGATAGTTTCTTTTGCTTTGCAGAAGCTCTTTAATTTAAACGATCCCATTTGTCAATTTTGGCTTTTATTGCCATTACTTTTGGTGGTTTAGACATGATCTTTGCCCATGCCTATGTCCTGAATGGTATTGTCCAGGATTTTTATGAATTTTTGCAATCTATTGATCTGACAAAGTGCTAATATCCGGAATCTACAAAGAACTTAAAGAAATTTACAAGAAAAAAAAAAAAACAATCCCAACAATAAGTGGGCAAAGGATATGAACAGATACTTCTCAAAAGCAGACATTTATGCAGCCAACAAACATACGAAAAAATCCTCATCATCACTGGTCATTAGAGAAATGCAAATCAAAACCACAACAAGATACCATCTCACACCAGTTAGAATGGCGATCATTAAAATGTCAGGAAACAACAGATGCTGGAGAGGATGTGCAGAAATAAGAATGCTTTTACACTGTTGGTGGGAGTGTAAATTAGTTCAACCATTGTGGAAGACAGTGTGGCAATTCCTCAAGGATCTAGAACTGTAAATACCATTTGACCCAGCAATCCCATTACTGGGTATATACCCAAAGGATTATCCATTATTCTTCTATAAAGACACATGCACATGTATGTTTATTGTGGCACTATTCACAATGACAAAGACTTGGAACCAGCCCAAATGTCCATCAGTGATAGACTGTAGAAAGAAAATGTGGCACATATACACCATGGAATACTATGCAGCCATAAAAAAGGATGAGTTCATATCCTTTGCAGGGACATGGATGACGCTGGAAACCATCATTCTCAGCAAACTATCCCAAGAAGAGAAAACCAAACACTGCATGTTCTCACTCATAAGTGGGAGTTGAACAATTAGAACACGTGGACACAGAGAGGGGAACATCACACACCAGAGTCTGTCAGGGTGTGGGGGGCTAAGGGAGGGATAGCATTAAGAGAAATACCTAATGTAGGTGACGGGTTGATGGGTGCAGCCAACCACCATGGCATGTATATACTCATGTAATAAAACTGCACGTTCTACACATGTACCCCAGAACTTTAAGTATAATAATAATAATAATAAAAATTACTGCTATCTCTGAGATACAGAAAGCCATACAGTAGTAGTGGGGGTCTTCAACACTCTATTAACAGCATTAGACAGAATACTGAGGAAGAAAACTATCAAAGAACTTCTGGACATAATTTGGAGAATTGACAAAATGGACCATATTGATATGTATAGAATACAACACTGAACAAACACAGAATATACATTCTCATCTTTACAGAGACGATTGTCTAGGAATGATTATATGCTAGGTAACAAAGAAAGTTTTAATAAATGTAAAAAAAAAATAAAATCATACCAATCATCTTCTTAGACCACAGGGGAATGAAATTACAAATCAATACAAAGAGGAACTCACACAATCACACAATACATGGAAACTAAACAACTTGCTCCTGAATGACTTTTGGGTAAACAATATAATTAAGGCAGAATGAAAAAAAATATTTGAAACAAATGAAAATTGAGACACAAAACTTTTCAAAACCTTTGGGATAAAGCAAAAGCAGTGCGAAGAGGAAAGTTTATTATACTAAATGCCTAAATAATGCATATAAAAATCTAAATTAACAACCTAATATTGTATCTAAAGGTACTAGAAAAACAAGAACAAATTAAACCCAAAACTATCAGAAAAAAAGAAATCTGGAGATCAGAGCAGAACTAGGTGAAACTGAGACCTAGGAACCCATCCAAATGTCACGAAATAAAAAGGTTGGTTCTTGAAAAAAATTTAAACAAGATTGATAGATTGTTAGCTAATTCAACAAAGGAAAAGGAGAGAAGATCCAAATAAGCACTATCAGAAATGATAAAGGTAACATTATAACAGATCCCATGGGAATATAAAAGAACCTCAGAGACTTCTATAAACATCTCTATGCACACAAACTAGAAATTCTAGGGGAAATGGTTAAATTAATGAAAACACAGAACCTCTCAAGTATGAACCAGGGAGAAATTGAAACTCTGAACAGACCAAAAATCAGTTACAGCATAGAATGAGTAATAAAAAGCATACCAACTCCCGCCCCCTCCCAAAAAAAAAGCCTTGGACCAGAGAGTTTCACAGCCAAATTCTACCAGATATACACAGACGAGCTAGTATCTTTTCCTGAAACTATTCCCAAAAATAGAGTAGGGATTCTTCCATAATTTATTGTACATAACACATTTTATCTTCATATGAAAACCTGGCAAGAACACAATGAAAAAAGAAAACTAAAAGGCAGAATCTTTGATGAATATAGATGTAAAGATTCTCAAAAAAATACTAGCAAATCCAATCTGGCAGCACATCAAAAAAACATTCATCACAAATGAGCAATTGAGTGGGCTTTATTTGTGGTATGCAACATATGCAAATCAATAAATATGATTCACCACATAAAATTAAATACTAATATCATATAATCATCACAACAGAAATAGAAAAATAATTCTATAAAATGCAACATCCTTTCATGAAAAAAAAACACCAACAAGTAGGAATTGAAGGGATATACCTCAAAATAATAAGAGCTATTTGTGACAAACCCACAGTGAACATCATACTGAACAGGCAAAAGTTAAAAGCATTCCCCCTAAGAACTGGAACAAGACAAGGATGTCCATTCTCACTACTCCTACTCAACATAGTAGTGGACATCCTTGCCAGAGTGATCAGACGAAAGAAACAAATAAAAGGCATTCATATAGAAAAAATCAAGTTATCTCTGTTCAATGATGACATGATTCTATACCTAGAATACCCTGAATATTTCTTCAAAAGACTCCTAGACCTAGTAAACAACTTCAGTAAAGTTTCAGGATACAAAATCAATGTATAAAAATCAGTACTATTTCTATACACCAATTATGTTCAAGCTGAGAACCAAATCCAGAATGCAATTCCGTGTACAATAGCCACAAATAAATAAAATACAAAGGAGTAAAGATGGTGAAATATCTCTACAAGGAAAACAACAACACATTGTTGAAAGAAATCATAGTTGACACAAACAAATGGAAAATTATAATTTTAGTTGTATTAGCAGCTAAACAATGAGAAGAGAACCCCAACTATTGAATTAAGAGAAATAAACATGAGCTCGAATGCATTGTGTTAACTCAGACTAGGCCAGTATTTCTCAGTAACATCTGGTTTTAAAACATTTTTCACAATGCGTATATATGTAGTAGGCAGAGTGAGCCTCCCAAAGATGCCTGCACTATAATCCTTGAAATATGAATACATTACATTATGTAGCAAAGGTATTTTGCAGATGTAATTAACTTTATGAACCTTAAAACATAAAGACATTACCCTGGATTACCCAAATAGGCCCAATCTAATCACAAGAGTCCTTCAAAGCAGGAAACTTTCTGCAGCTGGAGACTAGAGTAATGAGGCTGAAAGAAAGTGACTTGCCTTTGATGACAGAATCATGGAGTCCGTAAGCATGGGAATATGTGTAGGTGGCTTCTACATTCTGAAAATGACTTCCAGTGCGCAGTCAGCAAGGACACAAGGACCTCAGTCTTATAACCACTGCATCATTTGATTGGGGAAATTTAATCCATTTAAAGTAATTATTGATAGGAAAGGACTTACTGTTGTCATTTTATTCGCTGTTTTCTGTGTGTCTTGTAGTCCCTTTGTCCCTCCTTTCTTTCCTAGATGTCTACCATTGTATTTAATTGATTGTTTTTGTATGGATGTGTTTTGATTCCTTTCTCTTTTTTGTTTGTGTATCTTCTATAGATATTTTCTTTATGGTTACCATGAAGCTTAAATAAAACATCTTTTTATAACAGTTTAAGTTCTTAATGACTTAAATTGCATATAATTAAACCCCCTCACACGCACAAACTTTATGTTACTGCTGTCAAAGTTTACATCTATTTTGTGTATTGATAAACATATTTTATAGGGTTTAATATTTTGTTAATTATTATTATAAATTATATAAATTATTATAGTGGTTAATATTTTTATATTTTATTTCTCCTTCATATCTGAAAGACAGTTTTGCTGGTACAGCATTGTGGTTGGCAGGTTATTTTTTTCTTTCATCAGTTTGAATATATTATTCTACTCCCTTCTGGTCTGCAAAGATTCTATTGAAAAAAATCTGATAGTCTTAAGGCAGATCTTTTATACATAATGAGTCACTTTTCTCTTGCTTCTTTCAAAATTCTTCGTCTTTGATTTTGACAATTTGTTTCAGTACAGAGATTTCTTTGGAATCCTTTTATGTGGGAACAATTTGGCATCCTGAATCTGAATTTCCATTTTCCTCCAGATTTGGAAAGCTTTAAGCCATTATTTATTCGAATCAACTTTCTTTTCCTTTCTCTCCTTTCCTGTTTGAGGCTTACATAACGAGTGTATAGGTTTACTAGATGGTGTCCTGTAAGTCCCTAAAGCTTTCATTCTTAATTATTTTTGCTTCTTTGAGTGGATAATTTCCAATGACCTTCCTCCAAGTTTGCTGATTTTTTCTTCTGCTTGATTTAGTGCTGTTGAACCCTTCTAGTGAATCTTTCAGTCTATTATATATTTTTTTACCTTCAAGATATCTGTTTGGTACTTTTTAATAGTCTCTATATCGTTGTTGAAATTCTCTCTTTGTGAATTTGTTGTTTTCTTACTTTGTTGAGCAACTTTATGATGGTTATTTTGAATTCTCCCCCATTGAAATTATATATCTTTGTTTTACTAATTTTGGTTAATGAAGATTTATCTTATTTCTTTGTTTGAAACACATTTCCCTGCTTCTTCAGTTTTTTTGACTCATTATGCGCTATCTGTATATTAGAAACAACAGCCATCTCTCCCAGTCTTCATGGACTGGCCTCATATGGGAGAAGACCCTGGTAATCAGCCTGTCCAAAGATTCTGCAGATTTCCTCAAGCCTTCATGCTGGCCCAAACTGCTATTGTTCTCATTGGCACTAGTCATTTAGAGTATGCTCAGTCCTGTTAGTGCTCCTTGACAGGTGAGGTAGAAGCTGCTACTTTGGACACTCCCTGGAAAAAATTGAAACATTGAATGTGAGGTCCAATTTAGCAGGGAAAATTTTTTGTGGAAAATCAGGGTGCTGAAAGTTTCTTTCTGATTATATTGCACTCTGCTTGGAGTGGTGATGGCAAAAGGGTACCTAAAATTTTCTTGAAAGGTGAATGTGACTGGTGTCCCTGTTATCAGATGCAGGATCTTCTCAACTAGTTTCTGGATGACTCATGCACAAAAAAAGTCTATATATTTCGTCATTGAATTAGTTTCTGGAAAAGGGAGGTCCTGGGCTTTTTATTCTGCCATCTTGTTGACATCACTCCCCCCACCAAGTTTTATATTCTTCAGTTACCTTTTATGTCATCCTGGTGGGAAAAATTGCCTAAATCGTTTTGCCTTATTCTTGCTTCATGTATGCTTAGAAAAGTCTGCTTCCAGAAGAGCTCTTTTTTAATTTTAGAGCTAATGAAGGCAATCTTTTATTTCCTTTGTTAATATTTAAGCTTACTGCATGTATGTATATGTGCATGTGTGTGTGCAATATTTTTTTTTACTCCATGAGTTTTTCACATTTAACAACTTAAAAATTAAAATTTGTATTACAATTGATAATATGCCATAATTTACAGACTGTACTTTTATTATTTTTCTTAATAATACAGAAATCCATGGCAGTTTAAAATCAATCACATCCTACATTTGATGAAATAAAGTATATACACATGTGTTTAACAGTAGTGAATATATGTTTATATACTGTGAGTGTGAGACAGAGAGAGACTGTGAGCACAATTCTACTAAAATAATTTGCAAACATTGATAACAAGTAACAGAAGCACTTGCTTCCTGAATTTACCATCATTATTACTATACAAAGGGTTTAGAATGACCAGTCAGGTTTTTAGTGCTCTAGTGCTTGCTCCAGGAAATATTCTATTTAGAAAATTGAACCTCCCCCTTTTTGAACAAGAGTAATTCAATATGGAACATCAAACAACATTCTGAGACTGGAAAACCTAGTCATTGTATTACTGGAAAAAGTTCTTCCATTCACACAGAGGTGATTGCTAAACATGTGAGCACCAACATAATTTTGGGAGGTGGGAGGAATGCATATAACAAGGAATAAAGAGAACATTAAATACTGAATCATATCAATATTTAAAGAGATGGAAGGAAAAGTCAATCAGGAAAAGAGCCAATTGCAGCACTCAAAAGAGAAGCAAAACTGTAGTACCAGAAAAACCAAAACAAGTAAGAGTTTCTAATGAGAAATGTCAATCATAGGCTGTATTTGACTTAACTTGTTCTTAATGGTCTCCTTAAGGAGAAATACAATATCAAAATTACTTTTTAACTTAGGCACAAATATGTGATACAAATTTATGTTATTAATTTGAGAAACCAGAACTAATATGTGAAATACAGAAAAAGCTATGCTTATAGCACTAACTTCTGAACTCTGCAGTTTCTGAAACTAAAATTGACAGGTTAAATAAGGAACATCAGCTTTAAGTTTCTAAAATATGTCATTTACTATAGTGAACAAAGTAACCCCAAAACACTTTAGACAGAAATCTTTAATATAGTAAAATTGTTTAAATACGTCATTTATCCATTAGGCTGTCAGACAACACTCCCACACACAATGAAATGCCTGCTTCTTGACAGTTGGAGTTGTGTGGGAAGATCTCTGCACTATACAGGCTAAAATAAATGCCCAAAATATACACTGCGCAGAAGGAACTTCCAGTTAGAGAAAATATGGTATTAATATAAATAAGCTCTGCATCCAAAATTGTTAGGAAATATAATAATAGTATACTCTTATGTAAAATGCTGGTGAAAGAAAAAAAATTAAATTAGGACTAGAGAACAGGAATTTAGTAGGAATTAATATAATTGAATATATCCATGGCATAAAATTTCAATAAAAAGTGGTAGATTTGACTTAATTTCTTGACAAAAGGATTATTTGATTTAGAAGGAAATGTATAATTTATTTTAATATACACAAACACACATTCTAGTGATAATAAAAACTGCTTTTCCTATGAATAATGTAATTTATCATTGGCAAAATTTATCAAGATAGCCATGATGAGAAATACGGTTGTTCGTTTTTAAAGAGCTAATTACACAAACATAGTTGAGCATTTCAAATTATAGCCTCTTGGACTCAAAGTTCCAATGATTACCAATAACAATGCCATCAGCCTCACCAACACCACCAAAAACTGTGAATTATTTAAGTTTATGGTGAGAAATGTCCACTTTTGGGTATTTCCCAAAAAGAGTTCATAATTCCTGCCACAGTTTTGCAAAGGAAACACTGTGTTCCTTTAACAAATTAAGGAACTGACACTCAAATAGTTATTCTCCCCAAGATCACAGAGTTTTAGAAAAAATGATTGTGGAATTTGAATCAGACGAATTTAATTTCATAGCTTGTTGTCTTTTATGTGTATATATTTATATTTTCTATATATTGCCTACATTCTGCAAGTAGAATGGACTTGGAACTAAAAATTTGTTTTATTCATAGCTTTGAAATTATTTGACTATAGCCTGAAATATTTTGCCTACTTTCTCCAGTTCTCAGTCCGTTTACCTATAAACTAAAGAAGATTCTGTAAGTTTCCCTCATTTAAATATATTCTGCACTTTTCCTCTGAGTTCTAAATTTGGCAAAATTTATGTTCTTTCTGTCAATCATTGTGTGAAAAATTGTCATGTGCTTTAACATTGTTGTAAGTGCTAAAGTTGAGTGGTTGAAAAGACAACCAAACCCTTGAGTTCAACTCATTTGACTGTGCAAGTTAAGAAATAAATAAATACATGACATAATATATTCATTATAGATACATATATACACACGTGTGTATGCACACATATGGGAAACATGATATGTAATATTGTATATGTAATTTATATGAGATAAAATTAGGTTGTGAAACAGATTCCAAGTGATGGGTTGTAAAAGTGCACTAATACTCCTTTTCTTAGGTGTCATTTGAGCAGACTAAAATGAAGTGAGGTGATGCCCTGTAAAAGAACTGGAGAATGTAATCAAAGGTATGGAAAAAAACAAAGGGAAAAAAGCCTATGACAATAGCGAGCTCCTGGATTTTTAGTGTCAGCAAGAAAACTGTGTAGCCATGTTGGAACAAACATCCTGGAGGATAACTACTTTATATTTACTCTACTGCAATCACTCAAGTTTGTACCACCCATGGGTCTTCCCATTTCCACTGGTGTTCCACTTCAGTTGGTTTTATATGTATTAGCCATAGAGGTGTGTTCAACAGTCAAATCCATTTCAAAAGCTACCAGTGAATTATGATCATATTCAGAAAAAAATTTCAGATCTCTTACTGTGGTGTAAATGTCTCTACATGTCCACCTGTTATAGGACTTGATGATGGGCAGGTAATGAGGCATAAGAAAAGGCATAATCAGGGAAAACTCTTGGATTTTGACCTGCCTAGTTAAATCATGCCATTTGTAGAGATATGGAAGATCAAGAGAAACAACTCAGAGTAGAGAATCAAGTATATAAGATTAAATGTTGGAACTATTATATAGAATGCATACAAATGCCTAATTGTAATCTAACTGGACAAAAGTAGTTGCGACCATAAAGAGAGTAAATCAAGGGATCAAATATTTCATGACAGGGAAGAATTTCTTGGAAAGGTAGTATATTTTTGCGGCAATAAGAGATTGTGTGTGTCTGTTTGTATATATACATATAAATAATTACTCTGATGTTTAGTCTAAAAGAGAATGGGATTCTCAAAGATAAAAATATATTTTTTTAAATAGCAATGGATTGTAAGAAAATTACCTGTGCTATCTTCAGACAAAGGAAAATGAAAACACATACACTCAGGTACGACCCACCCAACACACAGTGAAGACCTTAAAAAAGGTAAGAGTTGTTATTAGAAAATAACTAGGTTTCGATAAAAGCAAAATTTAAAAGAGGATTTGGAAAAGAAATAGAGACAGTTTTCAGAATTTTACTTAAGAAAGACTGTAAGTTCCAGGAGCCAATGGAAAATCATTTGGGATAAGGTGGGAGTGTTAGATTAAGTTAAACTAAGATACATGAAAGTTCTACCAGGAAGTCTTGGAGTCTAGTCAGCGGTATGGTAAATGGTATAAATGACCTCATAGGCTCTGTTCAGGGGCATGTTGCAGGATGTAGAATCCTTAGGAAGTTGGTGTGTGAGTGGGAGGAGGCGGGATAGATATAGGCAGGGGCTCTGAAAGAAGCATATGAAGATTTAAATACGTGTCTAAACATTATTTCTTTCAGATGTCCCTACTTCCCTTTCATGGTAGGAAATGCAAATATCTTTACTTCAATTATCCTTTAAAAACCAACAATATATGGGCTTTTGAGACAAATTAACTAGAAAATGTTAAAATGGAAATTAACATTGAATCCAACATGGTATTAGATTTATAAATAGAATAAAATACATCTTTCAGCATACATAGAAAATTGCATTTTTGTGCTTCTCTGTTTTATGTATTTTCTGTTACTATGGAAACCTCCTCTATAGAGCCATATATCTATTTTAATCTTGTCAAGCCTTTCCAAGGTAAAAGTGATCAACATTTAAAACAGCATTCAGTGGAGGAAAAAACCTACAGAGTTTACAAGGGAACATTTAATTTAAGAAGTATTCTATCTATAGTCATGTTTCCATATTATCCTATGTATCTACTAAGTGGAAGCAGACTGAATACTCAACATATCTGTGTGTTCCATGAGTAGAGGGGTGTTCTCAATTTTCTCTAAATCATTTGCAACATGGGATTTTCAACAAGCTAGTTTCATCTGTTGGTTGATTGTACTTTGTGTGGCAACATAGTGCAAAAAGAAAGTGTATAATGGAGTCAGATAATTTCTATATGAATCCCAGCTCCATTTACTACTCATACAAAATATTCACCCCAGGAAGCCTTAGTGTCTACATCTGTAAAATGGGAGTAATCACAATAACTGTCTCATAATTGTGTGTGTGTGATTATGAAATGAAATGACATATTCAAAGCATGTAACACTGCACTTTGGAAAACTCTCATTGCTTTGATATCTATCATAGCTTGGCAATTAAAGTGAATCCTGTTAGAACCAAACTCTCTTGCCTTCTGCTTACCAATTGCCTGCCCTATATTTAATATCACTCTGTCAGAGTTACAAACATAAAGTACTTAAAACATTAGATAAATAATATCTTATAGACTGGTCATGTTGGCTCATGCCTGTAATCCCAGCACTTTGGGAGGCCAAGGCAGGCAGCTCACCTGAGGTCAGGAGTTCGAGACCAGTCTGACCAACATGGAGAAACCCCATCTCTGCTAAAAATACAAAATTAGCCAGGCGTGGTGGCGGATGCCTGTAATTGCAGTTACTCAGGAGGCTGAGGCAGGAGAATCGCTTGAACCCAGGAGGCTGTGGTTGCAATGAGCTGAGATCGTGCCATTGTACTCCAGCCTGGGCAACAAGAGCAAAACTCCATCTTAAAATAATAATAATAATATCTTATAAACACTTTCTATTACTAGAGATGCGAGCCTTAGTTAAAGTGTTCGATAAAAACAAATCAATGAAATCCTATATATGTTTTAAATATAGTTTTAAAAAATATCCTATATAAATAAATCCTCTATATAGAATATATATAGAATTATATAATATATAATATATAATTGTATATATAGAATAAAATACATATATAAATACTTTTATCCTTTTCACAAATACAATGGACTAAATGTTCCAGATTAAGAATAAAAAATGATGTGCCAAAAGGCTGAAGAGAACTCCAAAACACATAGCTTTAAACTATGCCCTGAATGAAGAGATTAAGAATGTGCAGCAGGCCATTTATTTTTAAATCATCAAATGACACTAAATCAAATATTCCTAGTAATGTATTGGAAAACACACCATCACCATTCATAGAGAATCTATAAATTAATGATGAGCTGTCAAAGCTAAATGATATTCTAAAAGAACAGTTTTGAAAACAATGCTTTCTGATAGAAAGTAAGTAACAAAGAAAATGAGAGGGAGAGAAAGAAGTAACCAAAAGCTTGTAAGTAACCATGAAATGATAATGATTCTTCAACCAGAGATATTAATGTGGGACAAAGTGCTCTATTCATAGTTTTCAGAATTTTTCGGAAGTGAAAAATACAAATACAGTATTAAACATACAGCTGTTCTCTTAAATAACAAGTGTTTATATGCTTGAATATTTTCCTGTTTAAGCTTCAATGAGAAGAGAAAATAAGAATGGGAGGGTTAATGTGACAACCAAAAAAAAAATTTTTTTTGAGACAGGGTCTCACTGTGTCACTCACACTGGAATGCAGTGGTGTGATCTTGGTGTACTACAGCCTCAACCTCCCCTCCTCTGCTCAAGCTATCCTTTCGCCTTTGCCTCCCAAGTAGCTGGGGCTACAGCCATGTGCCACTATGCCCAGCTAATTTTTTTTAAAATTTTTGTACAGATGGAGTTTAGCCATGTTGCCCAGGCTGGAACAACTAAAAATTCTAACAACCATATAACTCTCTGGCTGTTATGTTGTTAGTCAGATATGTTCACATAAGAAATGTTTCCATTGCAATAATGGATCGTTGACTAAGACACGTTCTTAGTGTCTTAGTCAGTTTTGTGTTGCTATCAAGGAATACCTGAAGCTGGGTAACTTATGAAGAAAAGAAGTTTATTTGGCTCATGGTTCTGGAGACTGCACACAAAGCAAGGTCAAAGCTTCAGGCTCCTTCCACTTTTGGCAGAAGGTGAAAAGGAACCTGTGTGTACCAGATATCACATGAAAACAGAGGGAGCAAGACAGAGGGGAAGTGCCAGGCTCTTTTTGACAGCCAGCTCTCTGAAGCTCCTGAGAACTAACAGAGCACAAAAACTCATTTACTTCTTCTCCTCCAAATGTCCAAACCATAGCAGAAAGATTAAAATAATAAAATAAGAAAGAAGAGAAATAAAAACAAAATTAAGGGAAGGAAGGAAGGGAGGGAGGAAGGGAAGAAGATAAAGGAAATAAAAGAAAAATGATTGAGGAAAGCGAAAGAAATAAAATGGACAGACTACTCTTTGAGACCAGATCAAATTCTATTTTTCTGACTTTCAATAGAGTTTGGATTGCAGCATCTAGTGTCACAAATTTCAAATTCAAACCAGACCTAGAAAATGTATTTGATGTGTAAGCATAGACAATTATTTAACTTTGCTACTCTCAATTTTCATATCTTTAATGCACATAAAATGAATGTATAAATAAAATAATAGCTGTTGCAAAGCAATGTTTTCAGATTAAATTAGGTAAAGCCAATACAGAGTGAGCATATAGTCAAATCATTTAAGGGAGCTTGAAATAAAAGCTATAATTATAATAAAATCATGGAAAGGGTAAAGAAAAAGAAACAAACAACTATTTAAAAAAGGAATGGAGAGGGGAGTGATGACAGTAAGATAGTGAAGTAGGAGATTCTAGTCTTCATATCTACACAAAACTAACACTTAGGCAGCTATTTACAGATGAAGATATCTCCGGGAGAGCAGAGTTCAGTTAAAAAGGCACAGCAGCACTGTGGAGGAAAAAACAAACAAAAACTACACAAAAAGATGAGGAAGAATAGTTTTATTGTGTCCCGAATCACCCCATTTCCCTGGTTGTCACAGCTCAGCAATGAGAGAAAACTTCATCAATGACAAGGCTGCTCGTTTATCTTGGGAGAAAAAGATGAGCAGAGTGAGCAACCAGCTTCCCCAGACTTTCAGGCGCTACCCAAAACATGAGCTTTGGTTCCACCTCACCCGGTTCACCGAGGAGACCAGCAGAGATGAAAATGTCTGGAGACTGCTAGGAGCACAGAAGGGTGGGGGCTATCAGCATCAGCAACATGACGAGTGCTGCAGTCCCCAGCCAAGCACAGCAGCAGCCTTCACCACTGAGGACTTCAACCGTCATTGCAGCTGCTGTAAACCCTTCAAAAAAGGGGCCGCTGCTGTGCCACCCTGAGCTTGAGCCAACCCTCTTCCCCTCTGCAACATGCACATCCCTTCCCCTGGAGCTTCAGTCATTCTACCTACATGCATGGTTCAAACCCGGGCTCCAAAGCCACTTGGCAAGCACTGACACCTCAGAAACCAGCACCGCAGGCTGGGCACATAGGTGCTCTGTACACCAGCACCACTGCCATCGTGATGCTCCACACATCCCCATGCTCCAGACGCTGGCTTCACACATCCTCTACATTAAAACCACACATCAGACACTGGTGCCACAGCCCCTCCCAGTGCACCCGCATCCAGGACCGGGCATCAAGGGGGATCTCCTTGGCCCATGACTTCCACCCACAAGGAAAAAGAGAACAGGAGTACTCTAGCAGTGTTCACCACTAAGGGACCTAGCAGACCTCACCACCCAAATGGACACACACAGCTTTGGCCACCAAGGGACTTGACATTCTTTAGTCCATGGAAATTATGTTACGGTGCCATCCCCAGAGCTGGAATCACCACATCTCACCCAGGCTCAGGGGAGGGAGAGATTAAGAGATGTCGGTCAAGGGATATGAAGTTATGCAAGGTAAGTTATAGAGAGCTAATGTATAGCAATGTGGTTATAGTTATAGTTAACAGTACTGTATTGTATACTTGGAATCTGAAATTTGCCAAGATCTTACGTATTCTCACCACACACACAAAAAAGTAAGCATGTAAAGTGATGGATATGTTAATTCACTTGCTTGTGGTGAAGACTGCACAGGGATAGGTATATCAAATCATTAAGTGCTATGACTTATATATATATAAAATGTTTATTGTCAATCATACCTCAATAAAGTTAGAACAAAAAAGGCAAAAAAAGAAATAGAGTAAGGAGAAAATGTTTTTTAGAGAGCCTAGCCTGAGGGGAGCAAGGAGAAATGAGCACAGATCTTTGTGCTAGGCTTGTTGACAGCTACAGCAAGTACATAAACACGATGAGTTTCATGAGTCTAATTATCCTATAAAAGGATGCTTACCACGCCATTAGGGAAAGACAGAGCTTTTCATAGTGTAATAAAGTCTGAGTGAAATTTTCATATAGAGACATGAAACAACAAAATTGATAGTGTCTTTGCAAGCATCATGTCAAAACGTGGATAAAGACAATCAACTCAGAATTATTTCTCAAATTTAAGCAAAGACAATAATGCTAAAACCGAGTTCTCTGAAATTCTTATTATAGGGATCTAGAATATTGTCATTATGTAATTTTCTGGTGAAAATCTGTCAGCTCTAATATTCTATACCCTGACTAGGGCAAAGAGATTTTAATATTCTTCACAGAGAAAGTAAACTCAACTGTGTTCTTTATTTTTTAAATTTATTGCAGTTAAAGACATGAGCCATAGTTGTTTAATATATTTTATATTGCCCTATACAAAGCTATATGCTGATTATTTTTTATTGCTTTTACTATTGTTTTATAACTTCCCTATTTAATGACACATATTGCCTCTTCTAATCTGTTATTGATAAAGCTAGGGAAAATCCAATCCAATACCTGTGTCATCTCTGACTTCTCCATTAACATTAAAAAAACTGAAATTTTTTCCCCCACAAGCATCTATATGGGGATACGTGGGCAGTAGAAAAATGACATTCAACCTTAGTCATTGAGTTATTGCAGTTACATGTTCTGTTATTTGTACATATTACCTGTTATCTGTTACATGTTACAGACTTATGATTACCGTAAGGCAGTTCTTTGGGATTTCTGCTAACATCTGTTCTTCGCACATGACAAATCCCAGAAATATTTCATAACCAAAAAGAAGTTGTTTTGTGTTGGTGGACTTTGTAGTTAGTGACTCGGCCTTGTCACTGATGGATGAGAGAATGATAATATGTGATAAACGAAGCAATCATGAGAACAAATCAGCTTAATACCATTTATAAAGTTATTTTTATAAATTTCAGCTCTCTGGTTTGCTGTCATCACTCAAGTCATTTCCACCAAGAAGATGAAATGCTATTTCTATAGTGTTTACATCTCTTACATCTCTTATAACACACATATCCAACCAACACCCTTTATTTTCTCATCCAGAGGGAATATGATTAAATAATTTATGGAAGGTTCGAGTTGTTCTAAATTATCACAAAGTAAATGAGAGTCATTCTTGAGCTAGGCACAAGGGAATAATGACTTTCTAAGGTTTTCAGAGCCATACAGTTCATAAAAAAGAAATAATATATATTACATTTCTATCCTATTTATATATATTCACTATATTTATTCAGAAAATATCGTCTCTTTTTTCTTGTCCCCAAACACATCCATATAGCCTATGAAATTCCCAATATTCCAGTTGCAGTGAAAAATTAATTTAAGCTGAAATTAGAAGATAATTGTTTTAAGTGACAAATGAATTCTAAGTGAAATACGGAAAATTTGGACTGCATTAATGCAAAAATATAAATGTTATTTTTCCCAATTATTTGTGACTGAATACACAATTAATATACATGTTTCTTCTTGATAACTTCAAGGGTTTAAATGAGAGAAACAAGAGATTTTTGTCGTTGATACACGTATTGGGTTTTTTAGAACCCTCCTCTACAAAATGAGGTGCAAGAAATCAAAAATCTAAAGTAAAATATCTTAATTAATTTTTATTATATGAAAAAGTCCTGGCTACTGGATTAACCAAGTAATTAGGTCAAACATATTGAACAGCCAAAGTTTTTGCATCTTATAACACATTTTAGCTTTTTGGATTTATCCTTACCCAGTCTTTATCATCACAAGATGACTACAGAAATTGCAGGGCTCAATTCTTGACATGAGAATGCTCATATAAAATTAAGTATGCCTCTGCCTTCTTTAAGTTTAAAGAGTCAGTAAACATTTTTCAGAAGTCCCATAGAAAACTTCTTCTCATGTCCTATTTGTCAGAATTATGAAGGATGCTCATATTTTTTCAGCCCAAATCAATCAATAGCAAGAGAAATGGGACATTCAGTAGCAAGAGGAATGGAACTGAAATAATTGGCATAAAGTAGTGTTTCTTAATCTACACTGTATATCATAATCACTTAAGGGACTGTTATAAAAAGTAAAAAGGCTTTCATAAATTCTGAGTTCATTATGGAGTGGGTTTGGTGAATTATATTTGTTTGTGTTTGTTTGCTTGCTTGCTTGTTTTTGAGACAGAGTATCTCTCTGTCACCCAGGTTGGAATGCAATGGCAGAATATTGGATCATTGCAACCTCTGCCTCCCAGGTTCAAGTGATTTTAATGTTTCAGCCTCCTGAGTAGCTGGGACTACAGGTAAGTGCCACCACACCCGGCTGATTTTTGTATTATTATGAGAGACAGGGTTTCATCATGTTGGTCAGGCAGGTCTTGAACTCCTGACCTCAAGTGATCCACCGGCCTTAGCTTCCCAAATTGCTGGGATTACAGGCATGAGACTCCATGACCGGCTTGGGGAATTGTATTTGTTTAAAAATTTCATGTAAATCTGAGGCAAATAAGTAGCTTTGACCAATTATACTCTCCCTGAACTGGTTATTATATTTCCTCACTTGAGGAATTCATACTACAAAAATTTGGGGTTCTCCAGTGGAGAAGAATGGAGGAATTAGCCTAGGCAAAACAAAAACCTCAAAGTGCTGTCATGGAGAATGTAGCAGGAGAAAAATGCCTTTGGGGAAAAAAGACCTGAGAGAGAAAGATATATTAAATGGGGTAAAAGAAATAAAAGGAGAGATGATGTGGATTATGCAGAGGGTCTATCACTGAGCTGGTAGGGGGCATATAAGCCTGAGAACAAACCTTGAAAGTAATTACAAGAAGAAAGAATCTCCAATAATTAGAAAGAGTCTGGTATTTCATAGCCTAGGAGCAAACTGGTGGTTGAGCCAGCATACATAAATTTCCCAAATCTTACTCCAATCAGAATTACCCATTGCCTAAATGCAAGGAATACACTAGCTAGCCCTTCCATTATGGATTTCCTTTATTATTATTATTATTATTATTATTATTATTATTATTGAGACAGATTTTTGCTCGTTGCCCAGGCTGGAGTGCAGTGGTGTGATCTCAGCTCACCGCAACCTCCACCTTCCAGGTTCAACTGATTCTCTTGCCTCAGCCTCCCAAGTAGCCGGGATTACAGGCATGTACCACCACACCAGGCTAATTTTGTATTTTTAGTAGAGACAGAGTTTCTCCATGTTTGTCAGACTGGTCTCGAACTCCTGACCTCAGGTGATCCACCTGCTTTGGCCTCCCAAAGTGCTGGGATTACAGGCGTGAGCCACCATGCCCAACCGTTGTGGCTTTCCTTGTAAGCATCAGCATGTCACTTATCTGAGTACAGAGAATGAATGATACGCGTCCTATCTTTTTTGTCATTAAAATACATGATTCCACACACAATGCTCCAAAGTCCCTTTATTATCAAGGAAGAGGGAGTTGAATCCTGAAAGTCTAGTGGGAAGATGATGGGAATCTCACACCTCTTCCTGCAGCTATAGATGATGCAGTATAATTAAAACTTTCTGAACTGAAGCAGTGGTTGATGACACCTCCATGAGGGTTAAATACTGGTTTATAATATGACTGTTCTGAAAGCATTCAAACTTAAAATGTTTGTACAACTTAACATGATAAAATTCAACAAAAATTAAGTGCAGAAATTGTAGAGAAGTGAATTAGGAAGGAAAAATTGCTCAGTAATCAGGTAGTCTGGTATTTGATTGCCTAGGAGGCACAAAAGAGACACATATACAAAATGAATAAAAATGTGAACAATGATAAATATTCAAGAGCATATGAACAAAGGGAAAGATACATCTTACCAATTATTCTCAGCTTTGTATGTGTGTGTAAAGAAAAAAAATGTTAAATTATTATTAAATCAAGTGAGGTTGCGATTATATATTTTTGTTCTTAATATTGGTCTATGCCTTTGGACATTTGTTTTTTATGCCCTTTTATGTCTTGAATAATAAGAATTCAGACATAGTAAAGTCACCATTGAAAATTTGTTTCTGATCATAAATATTCCTTTAATGCATTAAGAAACAGTGTCAAAATGAATTTTGTTAATATTAAGACACAAAAATACTGAAAATCAACATAAGCTCAGAAATCTAATGTGTAAAAAGGATATTAATTTTCCACCTATTCCACTTCCAGCAACTGTCTTAGGTTTTTCTTGTAATATATTTTGCTTCCACATTTACTGTTTTCACAGGAGGATATTTGTCTGATTTGAAGTACTTAGCCTTAAATCAGTGTAATTTTAACAATTATATAAACTAAACAATTTGCATATTCTCATTAAATCCTAAAACATTCAATCCTAAACATATTAAATTTTATATTCATTCAATCCTAAAACATATTATATTAAATTATGAATATATATTAAATTTTATATTCATTCAATCCTAAAACATTCAATCCTAAAACATATTAAATTTTAAAATGAAATTAAAAACATGTAGAGGCATAACAAGATGGCCAAATAGGTCACTGATTGACCTCCCCTCAAGAATACCCAATTGGACGACTATCCACATAAAGGAGCATCAAATCAGGCGAAAGATCACAGTACCTGGTTTTAACTTCATATTATGGAAAGAAACACTGAAGAGTGTAGGAACGCGTGTTGAATCACTTACATTCCCCCATCCACGTTCCCAAACAGTGGGTGCATAGTACAGAGAGGGAATCTGTTCTTGGGGGAGGAAGAACACAGCGATTGCAGGACTTTACATTGGAGCTCAGGGCTGCCCTGTCACAGCAGAAAGCAACAGCAGGCAGAACTCAGCTGGTGCCCACGGAGGGAGCATTTAGACCAGCCCCAGCAACTGGGGAATCATCCATGTCAGTGTTCACAACCTGAGTTCTGGCAAGCCCCAGAACTGCAGCCCATCGTGCTCTAGAGTCCTAAATAAACTTGAAAGGCAGTTTAGGTCACAAGGACTGCAATTTTGGGTCAAGTCCTAGTGTTGTGCTGGACTCAGAGCCAGCAGACATGGGGGGAACATGAATTAGTGAGACACCTGCTATAGTGGACCAGAAAGTGCTTGTGCCTTTCCTGCCTCAAACCCAGGCATCCAGGAGTGTATCCTTCCCTCCACCTGAGGAGAGAAGAAGGAAGAGTAAAGAGGACTGTGTCTTGCATCTTGGATACCAGCTCAGCCACAGTAGGGTAGGGAACTGGGCAGAGTTATGAGGATCCCATTTCAGGCCCTAGTTTCTGGACAACATATCTAGACACACCTTGGGCCAGAAGGGGATATGCTCCCTTGAAGGTAGTGACCCACTTCTGGCAGGATTCATCATTTAGGGACTAAAGTGCCCTTTGTCCCTGCAAAATCAGTGGTATCCAGGTAGGACCCACCGTAGGCTTTGGATGAGACTCTGAGATACACTGGCTTCAGGTGTGACCCAGCACATTCCTAGCTGTGGTGGTTATGGGGAGAGACTGCTTCTCTTTGAGGAAAGTAGAATGAAGAGTAAAGGGGATTTTATCTTGCAGTATAAGCACCTGCAGAGCCACAGTGGGGTAGAGCACCAAGTTGGCTCTTGGCTTCCCCAATTCCAAGCCTTGGCTCTCAGACAGCATTTCTGGACCTTCTCTGGGCCACAGGGAAAATCACTGCCATGAAGGGAGAGTCCCAGGCCTGGCAGCATTCACTACAAGCTGACTGAAGAGCCCCTGGACCTTGAGTGATCATCATCAGTAACCAGGCAGTACTCGTTGTGGGCTTGGTGTGGTGGTGGACATGGAGAGCGACTCCTCTGCTTGTGGAAAGGGAAGATAAGAGTGGGAAGAACTTTGTCTTGTGGTGTGGGTGCCAGCTCAGCTACAGAAGAATAGAAAAGCAGGTAGAATCCAAGTTTTCCAACTCCAGGCCCTGGCTCCTAGACAGTATCTCTGGACTCACCCAGAGCCAGTGGAACCGATCACCTGGAAGGGAAAGACACAATCCTGACTGGCTTTGCAACTTGCTGAGTATAGAGCCCTAGGGCCTGAGTCAACATAGGTGATAGCCAGGCAGTGATTGCTGTAGGTCTTAGGTGAGACCCAGTACTGTACTAGTTTCAGGTTTGATCCAGCACAGTCCCAGGAGCAGTGGCTGCAGAAGTGCTGTGTCACTTCTCCTCAACTCCAGGTAGCTCAGGAAAGGAAGAGAGTGACTTCATTCATTTGAGAGAAATAAGAGATTAGAACAAGAATCTCTGCCTGGTAGTGAAGGGAATTTGTCCAGATCTTATCCAAGACCACAAGGTGGTACGTCAAGAAATCTGCAAGAGCCACAGCATTACTGGGCTAATGGTGACCTTAATGCAGATATGGCTGCAGAGACAAAAATATCAGATTTATAACCCTCAAGTCCTTCTGAATGCCTTGAAAGCTATTTCAAGAAGGTTATACACATACAAGCCCAGACTGCAAAGAATAAAATAAACGCTAAACTTTTTTATGTCTGGACACCTATGAACATTCACAAGCATCAAGTCCATCCATGAAAGCATGCATTCACCAAATTAAAAAACACACTAGGGACCAATCCTAAGGAGACAGAGATATGTGCCCTTTCAGACAGAGAATTTAAAATAGCTGTTTGGAGGAAATGCAACAAAATTCAAAATAACACAGAGAAGATATTCAGAATACTATCGGATATATTTAACAAAGAGATGAGAAGAATCAAGCAGAAATTCTGGAGGTGAGAAATGCAACTGACATGCTGAAGAATGCATCAGAGCCCCTTACCAGCAGAATTGATTAAGAACAAGAAAGAATTGGTGATTTTGAAGACAGGCTATTTAGAAATATAGAGTCAGAGGAGAGAGAGATAGGGGTAGAAATTTTATTCAAAAGGGTAATAACAGAACTTCCGAAACCTGGAGAAAGATATCAATATTCAAGTATAAGAAGGTTATAGAAGACTAAGCAGATTTAAACCGAGTTAAACTACCTCAAGACATGTAATAAACAAACCTCCAAAGAGAAAGATTAAAGAAAGGATCCTAAAAGCAGCAAGAGAAAAGCAATAATACATGTACAATACATACAATAACATACAATGAAGCCCCAATACATCTGGTAACACGTTTTTCAGTGGAAACCTTACAGGCCAGGAGAGAGTGGCATGACATATTTAAAGTGCTGAAGAAAAACACTTTTATCCTACAAAAGTGATGGCAGTGGCAGCCTGCCTGGAGCAGCCCCTGCCAAGATGGCAGCTGCAGCAGGGGATGCGTAGCCAGGGTTGCATGGTCCATGGAACCTGTAAGACCTAGGAACAGGCAGGAGCCCCACCCCCTACTGAGTTGGCAGGGCAGGAGCCCATGTTCGCAGGTGCAACCGCATGCATTTGCTCAACTGCAGCTCTGGATCTGGGCATCCCTGCCCTCTTGGGGGCCCGGGAAGCCTTCCCTGCCACTGCATGCTCAGAAGTGCCTGCTCTCACTCCCAGACCTCTCCCTACTCATGGCATCTGCTCTGATTTCAGAGCAAAATTGAAGCTGAGCCCTGGATCTGTCCTAACCCAGCAGGGTGTGTGCACACTCAGGGCAGCTCTGACATGCCAGACACCCACCACCTTTGTCCCCTCTGAAACTTTGGGAACTGATGATTGTGAGAAGGAGGCCGAGGGCACTGAGGGCAACTTGGGTGTGGGTCTGCAGGTGCCCCTTACCCCCAAACAGCCTGGACACTGTTGATGGCGGGAGGCAGACAGGCTTCTGGGCAGAAAGGGGCAGGTCCCTGGTGAAACCTTATCTTTAAGTCAGGGACAGCCTGAAGCCTGGGGGCCTGGCTGCCAATTCCAGGTAGACTCTGTGGCCTGGAGGGAGAACTTACGGTGCTTTTCCTGGGCCCTCGCATGGCTGTCCATGGACAAATCAGCATGCTCTTCCTTCCTTCTGAGCCCATAAAAACCCCAGATTCAGCCAGAGTTACACAGACATCAGGACTACCAGCTGTAGAAAGGAAATATCCACCACGGGTCTCCCTTCCACTGAAGGCTGGAAACTCATCAGGACAACCTGCCTGCAGAAGGAGCTACCCACTTCAGATCTCCTGAGAGCTCTTCTGTCACTCAGTGAAGCTCTTCTCCACCTTGCTCAATCTCCAGTTGTCCAAGTATCTCATTCTTCCTGCATGCAGGACAAGAACTAGGCACTCACCAAATAGTAGGACTGAAAGAGCTGTAACACAAACAGGGCTGAAACTTGCCTGCTGCCCACCACATTGCAGGTGACAAGAAGGAGAGATGAGCTGCAGCCCTTCATGGTTCCCAGGCCTAAGGGCTCTCTGAGCCAGGGCTGTGATGCTCTCTCCAGGGCTCTGTGATTCCTGGTATCTCCAAGCTTTCAAGTGCCACCGTCTTCCCTGGAGCCAAAGTGGAAGCTGCTTGCATTATGCCTGATCCAGCTGCAGCCTTACATGGATCCAGTGCCTATACTGCCAGCTGGAGCTGCCTGCCCTGCCACAGCTGGCACACCTGGCTGTGTGCAGTGGCCGGATGCCACACTCGCTCACACACCCATTGCCGCTCCATACCTGCCTTGCCCTTGGCAGGCATGGGATCTGGGCTGGTAGCATGATTCAAGCTCAGCCTTCCAGGTCGAGTAGGCTGAACAAGCCCAGAGGGCCTGAGCAAAACTTGGGCAAAAGTGCCACTGGCCACAGAGTTTTCCAGCTGAAAAAACTACACCCTAAGGATCCTGTGACAGTAGCGTATCCAGTCAAAATATCCATCAAACACAAAGGAGAAATAAATAATTTCCCAAACAAAAGCTGAGGAATTTCATCAATACCAGACCTGTCCTACAATAAATGATATAGAGAGTTCTTCAATGTGAAAGAAAAAAGATGTTAATGAGCATAAGAATTCACGTGAAGGTGTAAAACTAACTTGTAATAGTATATACATAGAAAAACACAGAATAGAATAATACTGTAATTACTAGTGTCAACTACTCATATCTTGATTAGAAAGACTAAAAGATGAACTAATCAAAAATAACTACTACAACTTTTCAAGATACAGAAAGTACAAGATATAAATAGAAACAACAAAAAGTTAAAAAGTAGAGCGTAGAAGTTAAAGTGTAATTTTTATTAATTTTCTCTTTGCTTGTTAGTTTGTTTGCTTACACAATCAGTGCTCAGTTGCCATGAATTTAAAATAGTGAGTTATAAGATATTCTGTGTAAGCCTCATGATAACCTCAAATAAAAAAAACTATAAGAGATACACAAAAAATAAAAAGCAAGAAATTAAAACATGCTACCAGAGAAAATTACCTTCACTAAAAGGAAGACAAGAAGGAAGAAACAAAGGAGGAGAAGACCACAAAACAACGAGAAAACAAATAACAAAATGGCAGGATTAAGTCCTTACTTGACAATAATAACATTGAATGCTCTAAATCTTCAATCAAAAGACACAGAAAGACCTATAGTGGCTGCTGAATAGATAAAAAATAAATGTAATGATATGTTGCTAACAAGAAACATACTGCTCCTATAAAGATACACGTACACTGAAGATAAATCGATGAAAAAAAGACAGTCTGTGCAAATGGAATCAAAAAAGAGCAGAAATAGCTATAATCATATCAGACAAAATAGATCACAAGACATAAACTATAAGAAGAGACAAGAATGTCATTATGTAAGGATAAAGAGGTTAATTCAGCAAGAATATAAGAATTATAGATATATATGCACTCAACAGTGGAGCACTCAGATATAGAAAGCAAATACTGTTGGAGCTAAAGAGAGAGATAGACCTCAATACAATAATAGCTGGGGACTTCAATACCCCATTGTCTGCATTGGACAGATCATCCAGACAGAAAATGAACAAAGGAACATTAGACTTAGTCTGCATTGTAGACCAAACTAATAGATATTTATAGAACATTTCGTCCAATGGCTGCAGAATATATTCTCCTGCACAGCACATGTATTAGTCTGAAGGACAGACCATATGTTAGGCCACAAAACAAGTCTTAAATTTTTTCAATGAAATTAAATATACTATTTCTCTGACCACAATAAGATCAAATAAGAGGAAATCAATAAGAAGAAGAATTTCTGAAACTCTGAAAACACATGGAAATTTAACAATATGCTTCTGAATGACCAGTGAGTTAATGAAAAAATCAAGAAAGAAATTTAAAAATTTCTTAAAACAAATGATAATGGAAACATAATGTATGACAACCCATGGAGATACAGCAGAAGCGGTACTAAGAGGAAAATTTAAAGCGATAAGCTCCTACGTCAAAAAAAAAAATAAAAACCCTCAAGCAAACAACCTTATTATGCATCATAAAGAGCTAGGAAAACAAGAGTAAACCACACCCCAAATTAGAAGAGTAAAAGAAATAATAAATATAAGAGCAGAAATAAATAAAATTTAAATTTTAAAAAATGCAGATCAAAGAAACAAAAAGTTGGTTTTTTGAAAACATATGATTGACAAATTTTAGCCAGACTCACTACAGAAAAAAAGAGAAGACCCAAATACATAAATCAGAGATTTAAAAGGATGCATTACAAACATTACTGCAGAAGTTCAAAGGATAGTTAGAGGCTACTATGAACAACTATATGCCAATAAATTAATAAACCTAGAAGAAACTGATAAATTCCTATATATAAGAAACCTACTAAGATTGAACCATGAAGAAATACATAATCTGAGCAGATCAATAACAAATAATGAGATCAAAGCCATAATAAAAAGTCTCCTAGCAAAGAAAAGCCTGAGATCTAATGGCTTTACTTCTAAAATTTACCAACCACTTAAAAAAGAGCTAATACCAATCATACTCAAACTATTCTGAAAAACAGGAGAGGAAAGAATACTTCCAAATTCATTCTACAAGTGCAGTATTACCTTGATACAGAAAATAGACAGACACATCAAAGATAAACAAAAAGAAAAAAGAAAAAGTACAGGCCAATATCCATGATGAACACTGATGCAAAAATCCTCAGCAAAATATTAGCAAACCAAATTAAAAAGATCATTCTTTAGGATGAAATGGTATTTATTCCAGGGGTGCAAAGATGATTGAACATATGCAAATCAATCAGTGTTATACATCATATCAACAGAATGAAGGATGAAAACCATATGATCTTTTCAATTGACACTGGAAAGGCATTTGACTAAATTCAACATTCCTTTATGATAAAAACCCTGAACAACGTGAGTATAGAAAAAGCATAACTCAACACAATAAAAGCAATACACAACAGACCCACAGCTAGTATTATGCTAAATGAGGGAAAACTGAAAGCCTTTCCTCTAATACGTGGAACTTGACAAACGCTTACTTTCACGACTGTTGTTATACATCATACTGGAAGTCCCATCGAGGGGAATCAGACAACAGAAAGAAATAAAGGGCATCCAGATTGAAAGATAATAAGTCAAAGTATCATTGTTTACAGATGATATAATCTTACATTTGAAAGGACCTAAAGACTATAGCAACAAACTATTGAAGTCATAAATGAATTCAGTAAATTTGCAGGATACAAAACCAACATAGAAAAATTAGTAACATTTCTATAGCCAAACAGCAAACAATCTGAAAAAAACAGTCAAGAAAGTAATCTCATTAATAGTAGCTACAAATAAAATAAAATACCTAGGAATTTACTTAAAGAAGTAAAAGATCTCTACAATGAAAACTGTAAAACAATGGTGAAAGATATCACAGAGAACACAAAAATGAAGATATTTCATGTTCAGAAATTGAAAGAATCAATATTGTTAAAATGACCATACTCCCCAAAGCAATCTATAGATTCAATGCAATCTCTATCAAAATGCCAATGATATTCTTCACAGAAATAGCAGAAACAATCCTAAAATTTATGTGGAATCACAAAAGACCTAGGATAGCCAATGCCATGCAGAGCAAAAAGAACAAAACTGGAGGAATCACATTACTTGACTTCAAATTATGCTACAGAGCTATCATAACCAAACCAGCATGGTATTGGGATAGAAAGCGATGCATAGACCAATGGAACAGAATAGAGAACCCAGAAGAAAATCTATACAACTACAGTGAACTCAGTTTTGACAAGAATACAAAAAACATACATTGGGGGAAGCATAGTCTCTTCAATAAACGGTGCTGGAAAACCTGGATATCCATATGTCTATGAGTGAAAGTAGCCCCCTATCTCTTGCCATATATAATAATCAAATCAAAATGAATGAAAGACTTAAAATTAAGACCTTAAACTATGAAACTACTATAATAAAACATTTGAGAAACTCTTCAGGACATTGAACTGGCCAAAGACTTATTGAGCAATGCCCATTTTTGCAGACAACTAAAGCAAAAATGAGTAAATTGGATTACATCAAGTTAAAAAAGTTCTGCACAGCAAAGGAAACAATCAACGTAACGCAGAGACGACAGACAAAATGGGAGAAAATATTTGCAAGCTATCTGCCTGACGAGGGATTAATGACCAGAATATAAAAGGAGCTCAAGCAACTTTTAAAGGAAAACAACAACTAATAATCTGGCTAAAAATGGGTAAAGGGTTTAAACAGACATTTCTCAAAAGAATACATCAAGTGGCAAACAGGTACATGAAAAGTGCTCAACACCATTGATCATCAGAGAAATGCAAATCAAAACTACCATGAGATATCATCTCACCCCAGTGTGGCTTTTACCCAAAAGACATGCAATAACAAATGCTGGTGGAGGTGTGGAGAAAATAGAACCCTTATACGCTCTTGTCAGGAATGTGAATTGGTACACCCACTATGGAGAATAGTTTGGCCGTTCCTCAAAAGACAATAAATAGAGTTACCTTATGATCCAGCAATCCCACAGCTAGGTATATACAAAAGAATGGAACTCAGTATAGTGAAGTAATATTTACACTCCCATGTTTATTGCAGCACTATTCATAATAGCCAAGAATTAGAAGTAACCTAAGTTTCCATTAACAAGTAAATGAATAAAAGAAAAGGTACCTATACACAATGTTGTAATAATCAATTATGAAAAAAAATCACATCCTGTCATTTGCAACAACATGTATCTAACTGGAGGTCACCATGTTAAGTGAAATAAGTCAGGCACAGAAAGACAAATTTTGCATGTTTTCACTTATTTGCAGAAGCTAAAAATTAAAACAATTGAACTACTGGAGTTCAATGTGCTACTCATGGAGTAGCACAATGGTTACCAGAGGCTGGGAAGGGTACTGGGGGCTGGGGGCAGGAGTAAGTGTAATTGGCTGATGGATACCAAAATATAGTCAGATAGAATGAATAAGATCCAGTATTTGATAGCACAAAGGGGTGACTATGGTCAACAATAATTTATTGTAGATTTTAAAATAACTTAAAAAGATGGATTGTTTGTAACACATAGAAAGAAGGTAATGGATACCTCATTGGCTCTGATGTGACTATTACGCATTGTATGCCTTTATCAAAATAGCTTATGTACCGCCATAAATATATACACCTACTATGTACCCCCAAAAACTAAAAATTAAAAATTTCAACATGAAGTGAGCACTTAACTGCTTTAAAAGAAAGCATATATGAAATAAAATATGTAAAAATTATAATGCTGATAAAGCTTAACATGCTGGAATATAAAAATTTATTAACTTAGTTTTATTTTCTAAAAACCAAAAGAAGAAAAGAAAAATGATTATATACAATATATTTACCATACTATCATTTACACAGCTTAATTTGGAAATATGTTTAAATATTCATTCAAGTGAATTTTGATATATCTTCATTGTGGAACTTTATGGAGTCATTTGTGGGACACTGTTACAGTGATTATGAGTGAGTGTTTTGGGGATGACACAATTTGAATTGAAATCTGAAATGTTCTACTTACTAGATATGTGACCTTGACAAATTGTATATCCCCTCTATACTTCAGTCTTTTTGACCCAAAATGGGAGAGAAAAGTTACACGCTGTTGCACATGGTGATAGAGGTACTAGTAGTGTTAGTCATGAAATCTACACTGAAAACTCACTTTTGTCTAGAAATTATGGTTCCTTTTTATTTATTATTTATGCTAGAAAATATACAGTGATCTGTCCATTAAATCTGTCTCATTATGTAATAGACCTATTCAGATTATATATTTAATATATAATATATCAAATATGTAGCAAATTCCAGATTTCGGTCTATGTTATCTCACTCTAGAAACTTGCAAGCATAATCACCGTAACAGTGTCTCACAAATGACTCCATAATATATATGAGGTCATATATTACTCTGATTATACCAGATATACATACTCTGATTATATCTGATTGTCACAGACTACTTAAGGACAAATACAATGCTCATGACATAGTATTAAATGATTGAATTAACAAAGCAGAATGATGCAACAGATCATTATTTTGCCAAAATTTCATAAGAGTTACTTATTGCCAGGCACCATGGCTCATGCCTGTAATCCTAGCACTTTGGCAGGCCAAGGCAGGTGGATCACATGAGGTCAAGAGTTCGAGACCAGCCTGGCCAACATGGTGAAATCTCATCTCTACTAAAAATACAAATGTTAACCAGGTGCGGTGGCAAGTGCCTGTAATCCCAGCTACTGGGGAGGCTGAAGCAGGAGAATTATTTGAACCCAGGAGACGGAGGTTGCAGTGAGCCAAGATGACGCCACTGCACTCCAGCCTGGGCAACAGAGCAAAAATCCCATCTCAGAAACAAAACAAAAAAAATGACTTATTTAAGAATATCTGTCTATCAACTACCTTTGTTTCCATTTATTCTTTAGAACATAATGAAAGGAACATCATTTCAGAATGCAGAAATGAAGTCCAGTTGAAACGTTTGTGGGGTGCAGGTTCCTGTGTGTGTGTGTGTGTGTGTGTGTGTGTGTGTGTGTTTGTGTGTACATTATCCTCTTTTTAAGTTTTCCTTTATTAAGAAAATGTCAAGTGACATGTAGACATTACAATTTTTTGTCAGAGGTTGATGATAGTATTTGTTCACATATCTAAGCAATTTAGCACAAGAAAGCATGGCCCACTCTGCTTTTAAAAGGTTTACTAGCGATCCATAGACCGGCCCTTTGTTCACAACCAGGTGGTTTCTGTAAATGATGTTTTGGAATCGCTTATTACTTGCAGTGGGGCATAACAGGGCACCACAGGGCTATCCAATGTCATAGCTGTGTTACACTACTCGACACAGGTTCACTGGACAGGGCACCTTATATTCTCAAGTGACTTTTCACAGGAATTTTACAAATACTTCACGATATCTGCCCTCCTTAAAATATGTATAATTGTTCTTTGTGTATCTTGGATAATACTTATAGTTTTAAATTACATCTTCTATGCTAACAATAATTAACTATTTGATAAATCCCAAGGGGTCTTTAGGGAGAGTTGACTGAGGTTCCACTGATACAATAGTCTATTCCGTCATACTAGATGTCCTGGGGTATTGGTTCCAGAACCGCTCTCAGATGCAAAAAACCATAGATGCTCAAGACTGTGATATAAAATGGCATAGTATTTGCAAGTAGCCTGTGCACATCCTCCCATATACTTTAAACCATCTGTAGATTACTTATAATACCTGATACAATGTACATGCTACGTAAATTGTTTTACTGTATTGTTTTAAAAGTGACAACAGTAAAAAATAAAACCATCCTTTTTTTCTCAAATATTTTTTATCCATGGCTGATTGAATCCATGAATGTGGAACCCACAGAAACAGAGGGCTGACTCTATGTGAAAACAAAGAGACAGAAATACACTGAAGGCCATGGCATTTTTGTGAGAAATGCAAGCCCAAATAGTTGCCTTAATTCAAAACTTTCACAATTCAGCTTATCCTAATAAACCTGTCAGATATTTTTCTTTTTCTGCTAAAGTAGTGGTATCATGTGGCAACAATATAAAAACTATGTGCATTTTCTTGAGCCTGAAAAAAATTAAATTTTATTTCAGAGACAGGGTCTGACTCTGTTGCCCAGGCTGGAGTGCAGCAATACAGTCATAGTTCACTGCAGCCTCAAACGCCTGGGCTCAAGTGATCCTAATGTCTCAGCCTCCAGCCTCTTCTGTAGCTGGGACTACAGGCATGCACCCTCACCACGCCTGGCTTTTTTTTTTTTTTTTTTTTTTTTGTAGAGATGAGATCTCGCCAAGCTGGTCTCAAACTCCTGTCCTCAAATGATCCTCCCACCTTGGCCTCCCAAAGCACTGGGATTACAGGTGTGAGCCACTGTGCCCTGACAAAATTTAATGTTAGACAAAATTTTAATTTGTGGGAAATTCACATTATTTAAAATTTTATGCTTAGATATGTGATTGATATTTTATAACACACTAGTACAATGTAGTCTCTTTTTTTGTAAAATGTAACTAGCACTGCATATGAATCAATCAAAAGGGAAAACAAAATATTAACAATGGAAAGACAGGGTTAAACATGACTTTTACTTCTTTATATAGCTCTTTTGGAGTGTAATTACCAAATTACATAAATGAAAACATTTTATTAAATGCTGGCTGAATAAATAAAATTAAATGGAATTTTAAAGTAGCATTACTAGGATAATCAGTATATTACATTTTGTGAAATACACACACACGCATGCACACGCTCACAACATGTATTGAGAAATAAGTCACTTTTTAACCTTTTGGATATGTTCTTCACAATGAAGTTAAGGCATTGAATGCTTCACTATTAAATATTATAATCATTATAATCTTTTTTTTTTTTTTTTTGAGACAGAGTCTTGCTCTGTCACCCAGGCTGGAGCGCAGTGATGTGATCTCAGCTCGCTGCAAGCTCCACCTCCTGGGCTCATGCCATTCTCCTGCCTCAGCCTCCTGAGTAGCTGGGACTTCAGGTGCCCACCACCACGCCTGGCTAATTTTTTGTATTTTTGATAGAGATGGGGTTTCACCGTTTAGCCAGGATGGTCTTGATCTCCTGACCTCATGATCCGCCCACCTGGGCCTCCCAAAGTGCTGGGATTACAGGTGTGAGTCACTGCGCCTGGCCAATCATTATAATCTTTAATATTTATGAATTATTTCCCCTACTTTAATTTCCACAATGAGTTTTCAAAGTAAAAGAGTTATACCAGGGAATACCAGTTCTAGTGTGGATGTCAATGATATTATATTTCCTGAACAAAAAATGTTGGCATGCTATATTCATTATTTTCTTTCCAGTGATGTCATCTACCTATATAGAAATATACAAATTGCTAAAAAAAAATCTAATTGTACAAATTATATTTGCACACACATGCCTATCTACGGAAACTCAGCCCGACGTGCAAAAATTCTTAGAATCTAAGGCTTTGAAATGTATTAGGTGATATTCTATTTTAACGCTTATTCTTTTTGTCATACTGAAGAGAAGACAGAAACATATACTACTGATCACAGACGACTTCATAAAGAAGTTGGGAATACGGCAGAAACGGACTTGGGGAAAATTAATCAATTGGGGGGATTCGTTTCCAGGAAAACTCTACCACTCACCCACTAGAGTATCACCTGGAGATCAAGAAATCCCACACTTGGCTGGGGTGGTGGCTGACGCTTGTAATTCGAGCACTTTGGGAGGCCGAGGTGGGCGGATCACTTGAGGTCAGGAGTCGGACACCAGCTTGGCCAACATGTTGAAACCCCCCATCTCTACTAAAAATACAAAAAGTTAGCCGGGCCTGGTGGCGTGCAGGTATGGTCCCAGCTACTTTGCAGGCTGAGGCAGGAGAATCGCTTGAACCTGGGAGGCAGAGGTTGTAGTGAGCTGAGATCGGCACTGCAACCTAGCCTGGCGACAGAGCGAGACTCTGTCTCAAAAAAAAAAAAAAAGACCCCACACTTAAAATTTGCCCCCATTCTAGTGTGATCCTGGATGTGCTTGGAAACACCCAACTGTACACTTAACAGTGCCAGTGTCTCTCCACTACATGTTCTTAGCAGGCTTCTTGATTTTGGACTGCAGAAGAATCATGGCTGTGGCTGCGATTCTGATTCTCAGCTAGAAATGTGTGTTTGTCAATACTCTGGGAAATCTTTGGTTTCACCCAGACAGTGTGATGCAACAGCATTGGAATTAGTTTTAAAAATCCATGATTTGCACAAAAGCAGAGGACATTCAGACAAATCCCTAGGCAAAGAAAATTTTTCTCTCTTTCAGTTCCTCCCTATATGCAAACCTACATATCTACCCTATTTTCTCATAGTCCTATCCTGGATCTAACATCTATTCTTGATTAAATGACTCCTGTGATTTTTGTTTGTTTGTTTTTTTCAGTAGTCAGGAGCACAAACTTCCTTATCAAACATTCTCTTTTCTTTATACAGTCAGGTTGTTCTATTGCTTTCTCTTTCTTCTGCTTCTACTAAATGCTTGTCTTGTGATTGAATGAGAAGGATATCTCCAATTAAACGCTCTCATTAATGATGTTTAGTGTTATGCTTACAATTTGCATAGCACAAATGTATACTTCAGTGACGTTTTTCTTCAGTGTTCATCTTTCACTCCTTTAACTCCCACATGCATATATATGGAGTGTATGTAGGTATATATATGTATAGGAACATACATGTATGTATGTATATGTAGGAGTACTTATATATATGTATATAGGAATTAAAGGAGTCGAAGATGAGTATATATGAAATATATAAAGATATATATATCTTTAGATATAGAGATATAAAGATATAAAGATTTTATATATATGTATATTTTATATGTAAAGATATAAAAATTTTATATCTATATATGGATATTTTATATCTATATATGTATATATACATATATAGATATAAAGATTTTATATCTATATATGTATATTTTATATATATGAAGATATAAAGATTTTATATCTATATATGTATATTTTATATATATTTATACATATTTTATATTTTATATATATTATATATAATTATATATATTTTATATAAATAATTATATTTTTTTATTTTATATATATTACATATATATTTTATTTTATATATTTATATTTTTATATATTTTTATTTTATATATTATATATATTTTTTATATTTTATATATATTTTAATATATAAAATATATAAATATATGTAAATATATAAAATATATAAAAATATATTTTAATATAAATATATAAAAATATATTTTAATATAAAATATATAAAAATATATTTTAATATAAAATATATAAAAATATATTTTAATATAAAATATATAAAAATATATTTTAATATAAAATATATAAAAATATATTTTAATATAAAATATATAAAAATATATTTTAATATAAAATATATAAAAATATATTTTAATATAAAATATATATAAATATATTTTAATATAAAATATATATAAATATATTTTAATATAAAAATATATAAATATATTTTAATATAAAATATGTATACATATATATTTTAATATACAGAATATGTATACATATATAATATACAGAATATATAAATATATATTTTAATATACAGAATATATATAAATATATATTTTAATATACAGAATATATATAAATATATATTTTAATATACAGAATATATATAAATATATATTTTAATATACAGAATATATATAAATATATATTTTAATATACAGAATATATAAAAATATATATTTTAATATACAGAATATATATAAATATATATTTTAATATACAGAATATATATAAATATATATTTTAATATACAGAATATAAAATATATATAAACATATATCATATATAAAATATATGACATATATTTTATATATATGATATATGATATATAAAAATATATGATATATATTTTATATATATAAAATATATCCTATATATATCTTACATATAAAATATATATATCATATATAAAATATATAAGATATATATGATATATATCTTATATATAAAATATGTGATATATATGATATATATCTTATATATAAAATGTAAGATATATATCTTATATATAAAATATATGATATATATCTTATATATAAAATATATGATATATATCTTATATATAAAATATATGATATATGTCTTATATATAAAATATATGATATATGTCTTATATATAAAATATATGATATATACCTTATATATAAAATATATGATATATACCTTATATATAAAATATATGATATATATCTTATATATAAAATATATATGATATATATCTTATATAAAATATATAATATATATCTATATATGATAGATATATATCATATAGATATATAAGATATATATCATATAGATATATAAGATATATATCTATATATAAGATACGTAGATATATATATATGATATATAGATATATCATATATAAAATATTAGAGATATATCTTATATATGAATATATAAGATATATATAAAGATATATACATCTTTCCATACAAAATATAGAAAGATGTATACATCTTTCCATACAAAATATAGAAAGATGTATACATCTTTCCATACAAAATATAGAAAGATGTATACATCTTTCCATACAAAATATAGAAAGATGTATACATCTTTCCATATAAAATATAGAAAGATGTATACATCTTTATATATAAAATATAGAAAGATGTATACATCTTTCCATATAAAATATAGAAAGACGTATACATCTTTATATATAAAATATAGAAAGATGTATACATCTTTATATATAATGGTCCTTTATATATAAAGGGCCATTTGAATCAATCAGAAAAAAAGTACTATCTATGATTGAGTGAAATTTCAAGACATAATTTTATGATATGAATATAATTTGAGTTGATTCAAACTAACTCAGATTAATGAAATTATCAACATTACAGTTAGTTTATTAAGTAGAGTGACACAATGGGCAAAATTGTGTAGAAGCAATTTAACTGTGTATTTGAGTGTTCAGATCTTCTAGAGGTTGAAGTCAAAATGTTGGCTGCAATGAATTGAAGGCTGGATTGGAGCTGCAGGATCAGTTTCTAAACTTGCTAATGTGCCTGCCTTCCAGAGGCCTCCGTCCCTCAACTCGTCAGCTTTTTCATGTGGCCTCTCAGGCCCAGAGCAAGTTATACCAGTAAGAGTGAATGAGAGAGTGAAGGAGAGAGAATGCTCAAGATACCACTCCGCCTTTCATGGCCTAGTCGTGGAGTCAGACATCACTTGTTTTATATTAATAAAAGAATTTGCTTTATCAAGTCTTCACTCATTAAAAGGGATTGCAAAAGGACTTGAATTCCAAGAGGCAGGGATCTATAGGGGTTATACTGAAAGCTGGCTACCATGCCAGGGACTTCTTTCTATTTACCAAAGTTATTGAATATTAACTTTTTATATTATACATATTTCATATGGTACTTTAAACTTTTTTAAATATTGAACCACACATTTTCTTTGATTTTACATGTAATCATTCATTTTCTAAATAATGAGAGATTTTCTCTTGCTTATACATACATATATATATATATGCCATTATCTTTTATCCTCACCCCATTGCTTTGCTAATGATGCTATCTAATAGTGTAGAGGAAAGATAACAGTGAGAAACCTCTTTGCTTTTTTCTTGATTTTACTGGCAGTTGCTCTGGTAGTTTACTATTAATTACATCAGTGTGGGTATTTTTTTTTTGTAAATATCCTTTGTCAAGATTACTCTAGATCAAGAGTTTCTTTGTACATCTAATTTATTGTTTCAGATGAATAGGTGTTGGATACTTCTAATACCTATTGAGATAGCAATATTGTTTTTCTTATTAGTTTAGTCATCAAATATTTACTGAGTGGACATCATGGATAAAGCACTCTTAGCTAACAGGGTAAAGTGAATAAAGCTGTTAATTACCCTGTGTAATTGGGCAAATAGTGCATCGCACTAACTTTTTATGAATTTTGCCATGATATTTATTCAGTCATAACATATATACATATAGATATATGTTCAAATTTGTTAAAGATGTCACTATTCAAGATTTTTTTTCCTTTTATATACACCTAGTTTGTAAAATCAGCTTGTTAATCTCCAAAAATGTTCTATGTTCTTGATCAGTTGCTAGCAATTATTTATTCCTTGGTTAGGCAGAATTCATTTGGTAATTCTTCTGGATGGATCTTTGGCTGCTGTAATGGCTAATTTTATCTGCCAGCTTGACTGCCCAAACATTTCATGAAACATAATTCTGGGTGCGTCTGTGAGAGTGCTTCTGGATAGCATTAACATTTGACCTTCAGTAGGTGATAGGTAAAATCAACTATGGTACATCTATACCATAGATTACTACCCAGTAATAAAAAGAAATAAATTAGTGACAAACGCAACAACTTTTGATGGATCTCAGGAAATTATTTTTAGTGAAAAGGTCAGTCTTGAAATATTACATACTACATAATCAATTTAAATATTGTTTTTGAAATGACAAAATTATAGAATAGAAAACAGATTCAAGATTGCCAGGTATTAGGTATAGGAAATGAGAAGAGGAAGTGAGGTGCTGTTGTAAAAGGATGCAGGAGGATACTTTGTAATGAAACTGTCCTGTATCTTGATGTGAAGTCTTCCCAAATTGCAGAAGGAAGTAGGTTGCATGCGGGTGCAGGTAATGATAGATAGTCAATGTTAGCATCGGGGAGAAACTGGGTCAAGTGTGTATGAAGCCTCTGTGTATTATATTTTACATCTGCATATGAATCTACAGTTATGTCAAAATGAAAAGCTTTAAAAAGGATACAAAAAGGAATTGGTTTTCTGAATAAAGTAGATCGTTCTTCCTAATGGGTGAACCTCATCCAATCAATTGAAGGGCTGAATAGAAGGAATAGGTGATTTCTCTCCCTGTTTTAGTAGTTATCGGTGTTTATTGTTTCCATCTTTATGTCCAGTTGTACTGGACATATATCTATATGTATATATGTTATGACTGAATAAATATCATGGCAAAATTCATAAAAAGTTAGTGTGATGCACTATTTGCCCAATTACACAGGGTAATTAACAGCTTTATTCACTTTACCCTGTTAGCTAAGAGTGCTTTATCCATGATGTCCACTCAGTAAATATTTGATGACTAAACTAATAAGAAAAACAATATTGCTATCTCAATAGGTATTAGAAGTATCCAACACCTATTCATCTGAAACAATAAATTAGATGTACAAAGAAACTCTTGATCTAGAGTAATCTTGACAAAGGATATTTACAAAAAAAAATACCCACACTGACGTAATTAATAGTAAACTACCAGAGCAACTGCCAGTAAAATCAAGAAAAAAGCAAAGAGGTATTTAGCTCTCACTTATAAGTGAGAATATTCTAAATTCTCAAAGGCAATTGCAACAAAAACAAAAAGTGACAAGTGGGACTAACTAAACTAGCATTTCTGCACAGCAAAAGAAACTATCAACAGGTTAAACAGACAATCCATAGAATGGGAAAAAATATTCACAAACTCTGCATCCAACAAAGGTCTAGTATCCAGAATCTAAAAGAAACTTGAGCAAATGAACAAGCAAAAAACAAGTAAGTCCATTAAAAACTGTCTTCTCAAAAAAAGACATACAAATGGCCCAAAAACATAAAAAAATGCTCATCACTAATTATCACAGAAGTGCAAATCAAAACCACAATCAATACCATCTCACACCAGTCAGAATGAGTATTATTAAAAAGTCAAAAAAATAAAAGAAGCTGATGATGCCACAGAGAAAAGGGAACAACACTTACACACTGTTGATGGGAATGTAAATTAACTCAGCCACTGAGGAAAGCAGTATGCAGATGTCTCAAGGAATGCAAAACAGAAGTACTGTTTGACCCAGCAATCCTATTATTGTGTATATCCCATTACTGTGTATATACACAAACAAAAATAAATCATTCTACCAGAAAGGCCATACATTCGTCTGTTCATTGTGGCACTATTCACAATACCAAAGACATGAAAAAATCCTATTTGCCCATCAACAGTAGATTGGATAAAGAAAACACGGTACATGTTTACCATGGAATACTACACAACCATAAAAAGAATGAAATCATGTCTTTTACAGCAACATACATGCAGCTGGAGGCCATTATCCTAAGAGAATTAATGCAGAAACAGAAAACCAAATTCTACATGTTCTCTTTTTCTTCCGCCTTTGGAAACGTTTCTCTGGGTTGAAAGGGATTTTTTTTTTTTTTTAAAATTAATGCCCCTAACAAACAATAATAAAACCTTTATGGCGTGTAAATGCAATCTTTTATTCTTTTTTATCTTACGTTAATGTAGTCTTCCCAAAGTGTAGAAGGAAGTAGATTGCATGGGGGTGCAGGTAATGATAGATAGTCAATTTTGCAATGCTAGAACTTTTTTTGTTTCTTGGATCAAGATTCAAAAATATGGCTTAATGTATTGTGAATTTCTCTTCTCTTTTCCTCCTTTTCATCTAAAGGATTTCTTTTGTTGTTTTTGATTTTTCTTTGCCCTCATGGTCCCTGTCCTGCTCATGTTCAACACTATTTTCTTTAGAATGAGATTCTCCTGAAAATTTGTTTTGCATTGGATCCTAGAGCTGAGGAGCTATTTTACTAGATCCTCAAATTTCCTTTCCACTCACAAATGGAGTAGAGTGTACAAAATCCCTCATCATATCAGTGGCAGATCTTAAATTAGTAACCACCACTTTCCAGTGAGTACCTATTAGGTCTTATGGGGTTTTCCCACCTGCAAGTGTACAATTTGCCCATTTACTTCAGTCTTCTTTCTTCTGCACAGCTTCTGATACCATGCAGGTCTTGCAGCTTATGATGTCGGTGAACATATGCAGTTATTTGTCAATGAGTTATTTTGTTTGTATGTTTAATTACCTTAGTTACTCTGTTTTGGGGTGGAATAAGGGGAAATCAGGGAGATTAAAAGATTGAAACACTAAGCTAACACCACTTCTACCTGCCCAGTATCCTCATCAATGGTAGTATTTGGAAATTGGTGTCACTTTCTTCAAAAAATCAATAATTACTTCATATTTTATACCCTTCTCCTAACTTCTCCTTTACTGTCTTTTGACAGTGATGTTGTCTGTGTGTGTATAAAAGCTGAAGCTGCTCTGATTTTTCCCCCTCTTATAGGAAATGTGATTTTTATACCTGAGAGCAAGAAAACTCTTCTATTCTTAATGTAATTTAAATGCATTTGGCCAATTTCTTTAATTCGGTTCTGAAATTCAGAGGTAACTCTATATTTTACATATTTTTTTCCACTCCAAATATCTCATTTATTTGCTCTATTTAATATTTTTCTCTTTTTGCTTTATTATTTTCTTAAGCAGTTTTCTAGTTCAGTGACTACGTTTTTGGTGCTAATGATTTAATTATGATTGTTTCTGATGTGATTTAAATCACTGCTGCTTTTTATTATAACTTAATTTATTCTATAATCTCAGCTCATTTATCATATCCTGCTGTGGTTTTATCAAAATTAAGATTATTTTACGATGTTTATGTGGTCTGTCTTAACAGATAGTTGTTAAAGGATATGTTTTGTTTAAAGTAAAATTCCAGTTTTTATATAAATTGAACAAATGTCAAAAGTTTTAGTTAACTTATTAATTAATAAGAGAACCAGTAATATGTTACAACTGGCTCAACAGAGATTTCAAAACACACACACTGGAACAAACACACACACACACTCCATCCTTTGTGCTGAAATAAATTTACAAATAAATAAAAAATTTAAAAAATTTTTCAAACATTGGAAAAGATCAGAAAGTATTGACTTAATGTTTTCTATTTCTTAAAAAAATTCTTTAAAAAATTATATTTCTTAAAAAAATTCTTAAAAAAAACTCATTCTTCCTAATTTCTTGTCTTAAAAAATATACACATATAAAAATATATATTTTAATACACTATATATTTTCTTGTCTTAAATATATATTCATATGTAAGTATATATAAAACTATATATATTTAAGACAAGCATATATATAGTGTATTAAAATATCTATCTATGTATATATATATTTAAGATAAGAAAATAGATATAGTGTATTCCATGTTGATTGGGATAGGAATTCATTAAATAATGATATTCTCTCTCCATATTTTACATTAATTACTCAAAATGTTTAGGTTGTTTTAACTGTGTTCCAATTTTATTTCATTTTAATAGATTTCAGAGAGAGAGAGGAGGCAAAACCCCTCTACTTTTTTATCTTTTAAACCAATATGTAACTGGTTAAACAGTCTTATATTGTAAAGACAGCAGCCTATAAAAAGGTTTGCTTTCCATTTAATGTTTTTACAAAGCTAATTTTACCATTAGCTTTTTACTCGTCATTGGAAGAACAGCCCAACTATTGAATATATGACCATGGCTTTTATTTCACCAGAAAATGTGTATTTTGTTAGAAACAATAAAAATTGCGCAAAGATGCTATTGGAGTTGAATCGGAACCTTTCAGGACTGCCTGTAAAAAAATAGTCTTTCATTTAAAAATAATAATTCTCTTCTTATTTAAGTGATATAGGTCTTTGGGATTTACAGCTTTGATTACTCCTAAAGAGGAAAAGTCCCTTGGATTATTTGGCGTGGAGGGAATAATTCAAATTTTTAGATAAGGCAGTACCTACTTCTTTAGCTGCTGAGTAAGAGTTGGGAGGGCACCTTGAATTTTGAAGGGGGCATAGAGATAAATACAACAGACTACTTTTCTCTAGAAGTGTACATAGTAATTTTATTTTCCCTTACCCACTCCAGCCTACAATTTCAGTTTGGTTCATGACTAGAAATATATTTACAGATTCACAGAGTCTACAGATAAAACAGATTTATTCAATTGCACTGCACATTTAATATCTGCTACACCAAAGTATTTATACTCTATCAGAGAAAAACACTTACAGGAGTTGTTCAGAGAGCTTTGAATCACAAAGTTTTAGAACATTTGGATTATGTGGATTAAAAAATATATTTTTATATGTTCAGTAAAATAAAATCCCAAAAGCCATTTTCCTACCCTAAATAAATGTTTTCCAAGATTCATAGATAATTTCTAAACACAGCAATGCTACTATACCTCCTTTTACTATGAAGAAGCACCTGCTAATTTTTGCAGGAGAAAAGGAAATAACTCAAGGTGATTTGGGATCATGCAGTAACAACTGAAAGTGAATAAAATATTACTTCTTTGAAATCAAAAGGGATAGCTGATTTACATACATGCACACACACCAAAAAATATTTTTAAAATCATATAAAATCTAATTTTTTCTTTTTTTTTTCGAGATAGAGTCTCGCTCTGTTGCCCAGGCTGGAGTGCAGTGGCGCGATCTCGGCTCACTGCAACCTCCGCCTCCCAGGTTCACGCCATTCTCCTGCCTCAGCCTCCCAAGTAGCTGGGACTACAGGCGCCCGCCACCATGCCCGGCTAATTTTTTGTATTTTTAGTAGAGATGGGGTTTCACCGTGTTAGCCAGGATGGTCTCGATCTCCTGACCTTGTGATCTGCCTGCTTCGGCCTCCCAAAGTGCTGGGATTATAGGCATGAGCCTCTGCACCCAGCCAAAATCTAATTTATTACTGCAGAAGATTGAATATCCCTTCAAATATATGTTTTTACATTGTTCTTTTACACATCAGTTGAATTTAAAGTTCTACAGTTACATATCTGATTCTTAAAAGCTTTGTACATTTATATTACATTTCACTTTGATCAATCATTTGAATTAAACAAATTGATGTATTAGCAATACGTCTTTGAAATCAGTAAAATAGAATCGTATGGAAAGATACAGCTATAGGTCAAGAAAACACACGCACATGCATGCACACACACAAAAACACACACGAATACACATTCATTCTCACATTATTTAGTTTGGCTCCAACTGTACCACACAGCAGCAACAAAAATTGAAAAAGGGTGCTCACGATCATAATGAACACTTTATAGAAACAAGCTCTTCAGAATAGCATATGGTACTTTAATTCAAATGCACTCCAGGATGAGGAAAGCGCTTCACAATGGAGTATTAGGGAAAATAAATAGCTGTCTAGGGTTCTTTAAGTATAGGAAAAGACATTGGGATAAAAAAAAAAAAAGCTATACTGAAACACAGGAGTTACACTAAATGTGTTTTTCCTGCTGGGAAAAAAATGCCTAGGGATATTTTAGTTTAATCAGTTACACACTTAGCTGCACTGGTAATCTTTTTTTCCCTTTTTCCTTTTCTTTCCTCTTTCCTTTCTACTTTCCTTTCCCCTTTCCTTATCTTTACCTTTTCCTTTCCTTTTGTCTTCTCTCATCTCCTCCTCCCCTGCCCTCCTCTTACCTCCCTTTCCCTTTTTTTACTTTATTATTTTGTTTTCATTCTTCCTTACTTTTTAATCAGGCACACTTCCAGGCGCTAGAGATACAATAGTACCTACTTTCATGAAGCTTTTATTCTGTCACCGATAACCAAGATTTGTATTAATTCAATAATTTTAGACATAAAACTTCAATAGCATAAGGTAATATATTTAAATACATTTCTGTAATAAAAAGTGTAAGTTAAGTTATAAGTGGTTATTTTATGTTTCTGGTAATTATTTTTTTTTCAATGAAAAGTGAGGTTGATCTCTGTTCAACCAATCTGGCAGAGTTGCTATCAACTTCACTTCAGAAAAGCTCCATTCTATGTGAATGCAGTTAGTCCAATATACAGATGATAAGCCCTAATTAGAAATATCTGAATACGAACCTTTCCAATCATGGTGCTAAAAGTCGTCCAGAAATTCAAGATAGACATAAAGATTTTCAGGAAAAAAATATAAGCATAAAAAGCTGAGAACTGGCTGGGTATGTGGCTCACTCTTGTAATCCCAGCATTTTGAGACACCAAGGCAGGAGGATCACTTGAAACCAGGAGTTTGAGACCAGCCTGGGCAACATGGCAAGACACTGTTTCTGCAAACAATTTAAAATACAATAATTTAGCCAGGTGTGGTGGTGCACACCTGTTGTCCTAGTTACTCAGGAGGCTGAGGCAGGAGGATTGCTTGGACCCAGGCATTCAAGGCTGCAGTGAGCTATGATTGCACCATTGCACTTCAAGCTGCACTGCACTCCAGGGCAACAGAACTAGACACTGTGTAAAAGTAAAAACAAATTAATTCATTAAAAATTTGAGATGTGACAAATCACATAGAAAAAATAATCTAGGTCTAAGTTTTTATGTGGACACTAGGCTGCCTGCATAAAAATCACCTATTTTTATGGTCAAAATGCAGATGCCTAGGCCCAGATATGGATTTATGTAAACAACACATCTAATAAGTTTCTTAATCATGTTAAGTACTGAGAACCATTGAGGTGAATTCTAGGGAGTTGTTAACTGCATTAGAAGAATTTCTCACGTGTGGCAAACAGATTTATAAATGAACTTCAAGGACTTACCAAGAAATCTTCCAAGATAAAAGTCCTCAACATGCATGCTACCTGCAGGGTGGCTCTCCAGGACATTCCTTCATGTCCAGTAATTGTCAAGGCAAACATTGAGCTTGCAGCTCTGGAGTTTTCTATGAAATGGCAGAACTTAGGAATTTAACAACAATTCCTTTTATATCTGGGGAATTCCAAAATCTTTCTGGTGTATTACATTTTACAGATTTCTTCTGTATCTTTCAAGATAGACAGCTGAATATATTCCTGCCATTTAAATGAGATTTTTTGAGAGAAGGTGCATATACATTTTGATGGCTGAAATGAATACATATTGTCATTAGTACTATCAGTAACAGTAGTATTACTATTATTTACAATAGCTGGGAAAATGTGGCTCATTATTGTAATCATTAGACATTCCAAAAGAGTTTTTGTGTTAGTCCATTTTCACACTGCTGTAAAGATACTACCTGAGAGTTGGTAATTTAATTTGTAAACAAAAGAGGTTTAATTGACACAGCTCTACATGGCTGGGGAGGCCTCAGGAAACTTACAATCATAGCAGAAGGTAAGGGGGAAGCAGGCACATCTTACATGGAGGCAGGACAGACAGCACAAGAAGGAAACTGTCAAACATTTTTAAAACCACCAGCTCTTGTGAGAACTCACTCATTATCATGATAACAACATAGGAGAAACCATCCCCATGATCCAATATCCTCCCACCAAGCACCTCCCTCGACATGTGGGGATTACAATATGAAATGGGATTTGGGTGCAGACACAGAGCCAAACCATATCAGTGGTGCACCCATCCATATCCTAATTTTGGAAAGTTATGTCGCCATTTGTTTTTGCCTCTCGGGTTAATAAAATCTCAACTCTTTATAAGTAGACCAGAAAAACACTTATCAGGGTATTATAACATTTATATTGTAACATACAAACAATACCTAGAAAACTAAAGGTAAAACACTTTTGGTCTTGACAATATTGTGCCAAGAACACATTTTTTCGTGATACTAGTCTTTGCAGTCATCCTTGGTTAGGCAATTGATCTCAAAAGTCTGTAAGAAAAGATAACAGTGGTTATGGTTTTGCTAATCAATAAGCAGTATTGAAATATCAATCAATGCCCAATCTGGTAATTCTTCAGTTGATTTGTTCCTTTGTAAGGTATTTGCATACAATATATATTTCATGTCTTTATCTGTTGGAAGCACATAATATTGTTTTTCAAATCAGTTGCCAGTAGTTAATTTTTCTATTGCCTGAACTTCCAGAAATGGTTTATCTGGGTTTACTTGCCATTGACCATGGCATTTCCAGAAATAATAGAAAAAATATGTCAAAAATGTCTACATAGCTATAAATTGTGGCTCTTCTATTGGTTGAGAAAGAGCTAGAAAGATGCTAGGAAACAAAATGTAATGCATTAGGTCTTCATCATAATTTCTAGAAATTGATTTTATCTCTACCACAGGACTTTATTCTTGGTAGTTGAAGGCATATAGATATTTTCCCAGGAAGTAGAAACTTGGGTTTGTGCTGAAGCAAGCCTCTTCTAACAGAGTCATAGTCATATGAAATATATAGCAATTAAGAGATCTTGGACCTAGCTTTAATATCTTATACATGTGACTTCAACAATTAAAAACACACACATTTTTGCCTTTTTTCTCAGGCAATACTGCATTTTATTTTTTGCAAAATTGATGTTGTCACGAAAGAGACAGAAAATACTAATGGTTGAAGGAGCACTTTGGAGAAAATATCTATGTTTAAAGTACAGAATGACATCTGATAAATATATTAATAGAAAGATTAGGGAGGAGGCTGGACGATGGGATATTAAATTAAGAATCAGTAGAATGCTTGCTCACACCATTTGAATGCAATTTTAGATTTTTTTGCAAATAAATACGAAAAGTAAATGTAACAACAAAGTCTTAAGATTATTTTTCACATTTTAGTATTGTTGCATTTGATAACAACTCTACAAATATGCCAACTAGGTGTTGTCTTCTTAAAATATACCACTTGGCTTCCATTGCAAATTCTGGAAATGTTGCTAAGACTAGATACCAATGCTTTTGAAGATCTCTGATGCAATCTGTTACAAACATTACTTGATAAGAGAAAAAAGTATTTGGCCACCACTGGGTAAGGGAAGAACATAAGTATTTATCTACTGTGAAGTATTTGAAAAAATGATTATTTTCTTTGAAAAAAATATTTTAGTTGTCAAAGATAAATTATTACACATAGAATCAGATTCTTTATGCTATTTGTTTATCTTATTTAGATGGAATAATTTATTACAACAAACAAAAATGAAAAGCACATTCAAAATAAGAAAATGTTCTACAAAAATCATACATATCTATATTTTATATTTTGGTATATCTTTCAAACAAATATCACACACTATATCCAGACTTTAACAGATTGTTCCCCTAAGATCATATCAAGGATATGTACATAACTTTCATAATGTTAATTTTAATCAGTGCATGTTCTTTTTTAATATTTATCATAATTTATTTAAATAATTTATCTTGACTCTATACATCTGTTTCCAAAGATTTTCTCCTATGGTACATAATAACTTGATAATCACAATTTTAAGAGGTTTTGGCCCTCACTTGCTGATAATCACCTGCCTCAATGTGCATGCTCCCTGCCACTGCCTTACAGAAATGGTTTGATTATTCACAGTCTCTCACCAAATGAGACCTGTGTCCAGGGTACTAGCTTCTCCTGTCACTTGGGCTTATGCTAAAGATGTGAAATTTGGTGTAGAAGCCCGAGCCTTAATGCTTCAAGTTATATGACTTTAAGCCTATGCTCTAGCTGTTACAATGGAGCCAAAGAGAAGAATAGTGATTATTGAAGAGAGTTGGGGAAGACCTAAAGTAACAAAAGATGGAGTGATTGTGGCACACTCAATTAACTTAGAAGATAAATATGAAAATATTGGAGCTAAACCTGTTCAAGATGTTTCCAATAACAGAATTGAAGAGGTTGAGGATTGCACCACCACTGCTACTGTACTGGCATGCCCTATTGTCAAAGAAAGAGAAAAATTAGCAAAAGTGCTAATTCAGCGGAAATCAGGAGACGTATTATGTTAGCTATTGATTCTGTAATTGCTGAACTTAAGAATCAGTCTAAACCAGTGACAACTCTTGAAGAAACTGCTCAAGATGCTACAATTTCTGCAAACAGAGAGAAAGAAATTGGCAACATATTTCTTATACAGTGAATAATGCTGGAAGAAAGGGTGTCATTACAGTAAATAATGGAAAAACATTGAATGATGAACTAGAAATTATGGAAGGCATGAAGTTTGATCAAGGCTATATTTCTCCATACTTTATTAATACATCAAAGGTGTATTTTACTGTGAATAATAGTATGTGAATTTCAGTATGTGTATGTTCTATTGAGTGAAAAGGAAATTTCCAGTGTCCAGTCCATTATACCTGGTCTTTAAATTGCCAGTGGTCAAACCCTTGGTCATAACTGCTGAAAATGTTTTGAACAGTATAAAAGTTGGTCTCTAGGCTGTAACTGTCAAAGCTCCAGGTTTTGGTGACAATTGAAAGAACAAGCTTAAAGATAAGACTACTGCTATTAGTGGTGAAGTGTTTGAACAAGAGGGGTTCACCCTAAATCTGGAAGTTGTTGAGCCTCATGACTTAGAAGAAATTGGAGAGGTCATTGCGACAGAAGATGATGCTATGCTCTTAAAAGGCAATTATGGCAAGGCTCAAATTGAAAAGTGTATTCAAGACACTCAGCCAGTTAGATGTCACAACTGGTAATACAAAAAGGAAAAACTGGGCCAGACGCGGTGGCTCACGCCTGTAATACCAGCACTTTAGGAGGCCAAGGCGGGTGGATCACGAGATCAGGAGATCGAGACCATCCTGGCCAACATGGTGAAACCCCGTCTCTACTAAAAATACAAAAATTAGCTGGGTGTGGTGGTGCGTGCCTGTACTCCCAGCTACTCAGGAGGCTGAGGCAGGAGAATGGCGAGATTTTTTTTTAACAAAAGTGGAAGAAAAAGTTCAATAAAAAACATTTGCTTTAAAGTGGTAGCCATATGCAATAACTAAAAGCCTTCAGGCAAGCTACATTCCCCATTATTGTAACTCATCACAGATTGTAGTAATATCCATTATCTTTTTCCTCCTCTGCTACAAGTTCTAGATTACCCTCTGTAATGGTTAATATTGAGTGTCAACTTGATTGGATTGAAGGATGCAAAGTATTGTTCCTGGGGTATGTCTGTGAGGGTGTTGCCAAAGGATACTAACAGTTGAGTCAGTTGACTGGGAAAGGCAGACCCACCCTCAATCTGGATGGGCACAATCTAATCAGCTGGCAGCAAGGCTGGAATAAAGCAGGCAGAAGAATGTGGACAGACTAGACTGGCTTAGTTTTCCAGCCTACATCTTTCCCACATGCTGGATGCTTCCTGCTCTCGAACATCGGACTCCAAGTTTTTCAGCTTTTGGACTTTTGGACCTTTGACTGCAGACCAAAGGCTGCACTGTCTGCTTCCCTACTTTTGAGGCTTTGGAACCCCTACTGGCTCCCTTGCTCCTCAGCTTGCTGACGTCCTATTGTGGGATTTCTCTTTGTGATCGTGTGAGTCAATACTCCTTAATAAACTCCTTTATACATATATCTATTCTATTAGTTCTGTCCCTCTAGAGAACTCTGACTAATATATCCTCAGACTTGGTGAGCAATTAGTGTGGTCTGAGCTGCTTCCTGTTAATGGATATTAAGACCTTAATCCCACAAGAGACAAAATTCTTCATTACCATGACCTTAAATGTGCACATTTTGAACCTTCCTTGAAATGTCCAAGGGACATATGGAATGTAAGCTTCTTCGGCTTGTCACTCATATAACCTATTCCAGCTTTGAGTCTCACATTTTTTTTTTCCAGAGTACCTTGACTTTGACAAAGGAGATCTGTGAAGACTTCATAGGTCTGTCACTTTTATATTTTGAACCTTGGCCTGATTTTCAGCACAGACTTTTCTGTGGCTACAGAAGATCATAATCTGCTTGAAAGTTACCTTAGAGACCTTATGTCCTCCTCTGTATGCATTTAGTTGAATGTTGCTGCTCTGAGTCTAACATTTTAATTTTTAAAAATGTTCCAATCAGTTAAACAAAGTCAGCTTGTCATCTTTACTTCTTTCTCCCATACAGGTCAAGTGCCCAGCAAATGAGCATCACAATGGCTTACTTTCCTATTTACACCATCCTCATTAAGCACAAGTAAAAGTCACAATACTTGTATTACATTGAATGCCAGACTTTACCACCACACACTTACCTCCTTCACACATGAATTACTAAGGAGCTCAGCTCGGCTCCTTAGTAATTCATGTGTGAACTCTGATCCTTAGGATCTACTTTTTAGGGCCATTTCTGGTTCCAACTCTCTTCACATAGGTTATCTACAAAGTAGAGTGTGAAGTAGAGGACTTATGTGCTTTTCTTTTACTTACTAAGATGCATAAATCCAAGAAGAAGTAAGGACCAATGATACAATGTTGAGCTTTTTAATATCTTGCTCTATCCCAAAGAGCCTACATAAAATGCATTTTGGAACTCTCAAATACATTCTAGAACAAGAAGCATAGGATCCTGACATATAGCAAGGCATGTCAGGTGGTGACTAGGTAAAGTAGACTACAGCCCATGTAGAGTGGCTTACCACAGCAACATTTGGATTACCAGAGGGAGGGGGGGAAAGGAGATCAGAAATGGTATAAAACAGGTGTCCCATAAAGTGGCTTTTAAGTTACAGAGTTTTACATTGCAGAAACAAAAACTGAGTTGGATTAGACAATGATTAATATTACCAATATTTTATTAAAATAAATTTAAATCTCATCCCAAGGCATTCTCCATGTGGTATGGATGGAGTGAAACAGTTCTATAAATACATTATTAAAAAACTTTCTTATTCAAAATACCTGTGAATAAAAATGAAGAAAGATGGCTACATGGAAGATTAAAAAGTATAGCTTCTACACACATTAGAACAAGTTACACCAAAGAAAGATAGCAGGCAAAATGAGAGCAAAAGAAGGACATTATATATAAAAAAACCTTGTACAGTGTTAAAAAGTTTGTAAGAGTAGACTATATTCTCAAATAGTGTTATGTTAAAAAATTCAATAATCCAGCCAGACTATTAATTTAAATTTTTATTTTGTAAATGAATAACATTAAACAAAAGAGTGAAACTCCTCCACATTTATAGTACTAAAAAGCAAAATTAGATATTACAAATTGTGGGACTAATTGTGTTTACATTTAATCAGTGTTAAATGATGAATATTAATAAGGAGATAAAATACCACTTTTTGAATTGTATTCTTGCAGCCATGCTTTAACTCTATACTATCCCCCTACTTTGATTGTATGTTTGCCAAAATTATTAGATTATTTGTATAACATTAACATTCTACTTCCAAAAATAAATACAATAGAAAATTTTAAGCAAATAGGTAAGTCAAAACAAAAATGTTTCTACAAATGTCCATGTACAGGCAAGCATGGCAGAAAAGAATGCTTACAGAGGAGAAAATTCTCATCTCCTGGACCACCCTGGATGGTTCTGTGTAAACCACGCACATTTGACTAGGATTCATTTGCTCATGAAATCAATTAATCTGTTTATCCTATTTTTGAAGCAAAATATTATATGATTAAATATTAGAAGTTATCTGCTCTCTTAAAAATTCTGTTACAACATAATTTATATCTTACCATTAAAATTTCAGAAACCATTTGTTAGTCAGAAGATATCTCCAGATCTCATTTCATATTTTAGCACATGGCAATACTACATATGTCAAACAAAAGAGTTATATCTCTATCTCTATTACAATCATGACCAAAACCTGCCACACACTTATTTATAGGAGAGTTGAGTGGGGACATTCTAAATCCTTCACTGTACTTTAAACACAAACATCAGTGGGGTTTGAAGATATTATTTGATGTAAGTTTTTACCAATTAAATGTAAATTCCTGTGGAGGGATCAGGATATTATTTTTTCTCTTTCATTAATCATTAAAAATGAAGGTCCCTTACTATAAAATCTTTCTAAATACAGGTTTTCACCATCCTTTGCCACAATACAGTCAAAAGATTCCAGCTAATAACTCACATACATCTCATTTAGAATGTTCGATGTAAATTATCACCATTAATGATATAAGTGACTTATTAACACAAAGAACACAAACAAATTAAAATTAGAAGACACATTTCATAGAGAGAAAGCATTCTTGAGGCTGTTAGCTAAGTCCCATGAGAGAGAGTGAAGGTAGGAAAAAATGCAGAACAGTTAAGTGAGAAGAAAAAGTAGTTGTAACAGAGTCAAGGGAAAAGAACAACCAAAAAGTAGGTAGTACAGAAGCACCTGGATTCCCTCCCCTGAGTATCTTAACCACGTATTAAAATATAAATATTTGAACTAATGGTGACAATTATTTGACTCCAATCATTTTCGGCTCTGTTTTTCGCCTCTTTCCCTCAAAGTATTAACTCTGTTAGGTTGTCTCAACATCCACTATTATACGACTCACTCATTTACACATTTAAAGCCTCTGGACTATTTTTTCTTCCATTTAAGTTTCTCTCTCAGTATAGGCTTAGAAACAGCTCACCTTTTTGCCTCATTTGGAACAGTTTCATACGTGGCTTCTCTTCCAGGTCCCTGAACGTGGGGGTCTTGAAAACTTGTTTATATTAGTGAGGTTAGCATGAGTGGCTTCCCGGACAATCCTCACCTCCCTGTCACTCCACTGTTTGAATGATCCTGCCCACAGTCCAGGCATGTTGGGAAGATGAACATCCATCAGGGATCGTTATCCACCCCGATGCTGTGTGTTTTGAGAAGAAAAGATTCCATTATCCCACTCTGATCCAGATCAAAGTAGATAATAGGTAGAAGCTTTAAGGCTTAGGGCACCTGAAAATCTGACACACTTTTTCTGTGGGGAGGGCTGAAACTCATGGTAAAAGAAGGTAGCTGTGAAAAAGAGAAGACAAAATACATCAGTGAAAATGTCTGGAATTCCCATGATGCCAGGCACTGTAAGACACTGACCTTGTGAGTATTATGGAAAGGCCCCCCGTCACAGGCATCAGTATTGTTTGGATGGGTGTATGCAGAAGGGTCTGAATCAGGTGTTAGGCACAGATGGCTGTAGGAGGTAAGCATGTGAATGGTGTGGGCAGGGGAAAGGGTTTGAGAATGCTACAAGCAGAAAGGGGCTCATAGAAACAATTCTCATGTTCTTCTGATAGGCACATGAAAGCTTCCTGTTGTTAACTGTAATGGGATTCCATGGCAATCATATGCTATTGCTGCAAAGAATATCTTGAATTAAATATATCACTTAGGCTTTAATTTATATCCCATATATTAGCATAGCATTATAATTTATATCAGATATTTGAAATTGGATGTCTGTGTTAAATTTAACTTTATTGGCTATTGAGTAATAAAATTGATTAAGAATTTTTAAAAATCACCAGGAAGGTTTTATAAGTTGATTGTTATTATTATCATAATATTTTTAAACTACTCCCATTAACACATATGTTATCCAATATAGTGAAATCTCAAAGCAATTGACCTAACTATATCTAGTGTTCGTTAAAAGTCTCAAATGTGTGGAAAACATTGTGGCAAGGAAAAAGTTATTAGTAGCACAGCACTCTTTTCCTTTTCAGAACTTACCAAATTGTAAGTATTACTCAATTTTTATTAATTGAAAGAATTATCTGTATCTTAATTTTAAGTAATGTTGTTTATGCTTTTATGCCTAAAGCCTCTGTATTGAATAGCATACATTTCTACAACCTCCCTGAGATATAATTTGATCCAAATTCTGTGCATCAATTTTTGTCATAATAATTATGCCTGATCCTATGCTCATCCAGCTGATTAACAGCATAGAGGATGAGCATGATGACACTGGCACCTTGATTGGATTGTTTACCAGAAGGATATATAACACTGAATGAAGGGCAGAAGTTCTCCAACAAATGCAGTGATATTAGACATGTAAGGATGTGAGTGGGGAAAAGAGTCAGGCAATCAAGAATGGCGTTGGTGTTTAGTCAAGCGCTCTCACCTCTGGTCTCCAAGCCAATAACCTACATATCAAGAATTCACTCATAATGTAGCTTGTTCCCACCACCACTAAGGAATGAAATAGTAGAGAAACATAAAGAATAGAAGTTACATTACACATTCAAAGTAGAAACATTTCACAGAGACAAAGCCCTGCTGCTTCGGATAAGCACAATAAAGCCTTATTCATGTGAGGACTCTTCTCTTAAATAATGGGGAAGAACGCAGAAAGAAGGTAGACATAGAGCAGGTAGAAACAGCAGGAAAGAGCATGACCCCCAGCACAACTCAAATAGAACTAATTGTTCCGAAGAAGCTAAGATTAAGCACTCTATGATTATATGAATATAAATGAGTATATAGGTACATATTTTATGGTAGAATAACATTTCAACTCTAACTGTAGAAAGAATAATTTAACAAGGACAATAAAAGAGTTCCATTTCCTGAGCTATTTAAAGTGCCATCTGAGTCATCAGGCAGCAATGCACTTTGTATTTCCTAAAGGACAGAGCATGTACTTGATAAAGGATCGTTGATTCATGAAGCAGTTACCAAAGTTAATCTTCTGGTCTCAGAAAGAGATTTCACAGATTGTCTATCAAATAGAATAAGTAGATGGGGCCACCCTCTCAGTAATTCATTTGCCCCAGCTAATTCAATGACTTTTTTTTTTCTCTCTGATAGATGAAAACTTATAGTCAAGGCCAAAATACTTTTTTTTCAATATCAAAAGCATACTGCACATAAAAGTGGATAATGCACATTAAATGACATATTTCTATGGCTTTTAGTTTCAAGACTACTTTCTTGTGCTCTATTTGACCTCACATCTCGTAGTCACAGCATTGCTATGACTAGCAAATGGTCCTTTTTTATTGCTATAATCATTGAGGCTATACCATATGCTTTCTAAAGGGTGAACATGAAAATAGTAAAACTAATTATTTAAATTAGTTTCAGGGATACTGTTCTTGGCATGGAATAGACTTCATGAATCTTTTGCAGCTATTTCAACTCACAATGTGCCAGCTTCTGTAGATTTAACTCTCAACCTATCCTATATTTTCTTGACCTTGACCGCTTATTAACATTTTATGATTCTGGAATAGTACTTACTCCATAATGACCATACTCTTTTATGATCTATTATAATAATAGATTATACAATTATTTTATAGGATGATATATTAAAATCCTCTGAATTTTTAAAAAGCCTTTGAGCAAAATGTGAATAGGTCTAACAAGGTAAAAGAAATGACCTAGTTGTGTTTGCTTAAACTGTGGTTTGTCTCCTCAGAAAGGGTACCTGGCTCAGCAAAATCCATCAGCAATATGAAAAGACTCTCCTCCTCAGCCCACAAGTGGCTAAGCTCTACCTACAGGGTGATAACAGGGATCAATGTCTCTTTTTATAGGAAGAAACTGTTACAGGAAAGGGGTCCTGATCCAGATCCCAAGAGACGGTTCTTGAATCTTGCACAAGAAAGATTTCCAGGCAATTCCATAAAGTGAAAACAAGTTTATTAAGAAAGTAAAGAAATAAGAGTGGCCACTCCATAGGCAAAGCGGTACCGAGGGTTGCTGGTTGCCCATTTTTATGGTTATTTCTTGATCATATGCTAAACAAGATGTAGATTATTCATGAGTTTTCTGGCAAAGGGGAGAGTAATTCTGGGAACTGAGGGTTCCTCCCCTTTTTAGACCTCATAGGGTAACTTCCTGGAGTTGACATGGTATCTGTAAACTGTTAGGGCACTGGTGGGAGTATCTTTTAGCATGTGAATGCCTTGTAAGTAGCATATAATGCGCAGTGAGGATGACTAGAGGTCACTTTTGTTGCCATCTTGGTTTTGGTAGATTTGGGCCAGCTTCTTTACTGCAACCTGTTTTATCAGCAAGCTCTTTATGACCTGTGTCTTGTGCCAATCTCCTATCTCATCCTGTGAGTCAGAATGCCTAACTCACTGGGAATGCAGCCCAGCAGTTCTCAGCTTCATTTTACCCATCCCCTACTCAAGATGGAGTCACTGTGGTTCAAATGCCTCTGACAAAACCATCCCCTCTTATTTCTATCCTAATAATTCAGATGTTAATGTTACATAAACATTAAATTTTCTTTTGTTTTCCATGTAAACATTCTTTTGATACTTCATGTTACTTAGCCAATTTATATACCACCTTTATATACTGACTTTTAGCAATTCCTATGAAATGAACATAAATCTTCGAAACAAGATATGATTTTGTTTTTCTGCTTTCATGGTTTGGTTTTCAGTGAGCAAAATGAAGTAGGTCCGAGAATGTCTCTGGATAAAATGGAGCAATAAAGCTGTTAATCATGTTTGTGGCAAACAGAAATGCAAAGCCTCTAAAATGACTGGAAGTCTTACATCTGAATGAGCATAAAGATGAAGTAGATAGAGGTGCATAAAATATTCTAGGGGCTTTTTACTATTATCTTCATTAGGGTTCCAGCTTAATGCATGCTTTATTGCCCAGAAATTCATTTCATTTGCATTTTAACTGGGTTTTAGTCAAGTTAATCCTTTTTCTTCCCTTGCTAAGAAACTATTTTGCTACTACAGCAAAATACTGAAAGGAGACAGAAATTGAAAGTCTACTTATACTAAAATGTAAATTTGTCATAGTTTACTAAAGAGAAGAGACCACTATACCAAGTTCACTAGATCATATTATTTTTGACACCAAAAATTGTCTTGTGTATTAAACAGTAAGCTCTATTAGATGACAAGGAATTTGAATCATTTATGCTAAAGATTTAATATCAAGGAAGATTCAGTAAAAATCAACATCTCATTTTTACAAGAGTGAAAGTGATAAAGCAACCACGTATTTAGAAGTATCCAATTAATTTTCACAACAAACTCTAACATCTAATACCATGCATCATTTAAACACGGCCAATAAAAGAGCAATTTAAGTTGTATTTTGAAAAGGCATTCAGTTCAGTAGTATATTGGCCTAATAAAAAGGCAAAATATCTTTTAATTGAAAAAAGTAGGTTCATGGCCTAAATCTTAATAATTTTAGGTTCACATGGAAACAAAATAGTTTTGTTTATGAGATAGCTTGTTAAAAAAACAAAGTGCTGATAGCTCCTTATTAAAATGGCCCCTTCAGGTAAACAGACATCTTAGAAAATCCCAAAGGAAAAGATGAGAATAAAAACAGGCCGATAACCTGGGGACAATAGACAACAGGAAGCTTTCTTTGTTATTTATTTTGAAATATTTAAAATATATATTTATAAGATAAAAGATAGTATTTAAGCTTACCCATACTGTGCTTATTAAGATCTCTAAGCCTTCTTTCAATATTATTTTAAAATCTGTGCTATTTCTTAAGTAGATATAAAAAAATTGTTTCTCCCTCACTAAAACTTGAGAGATAAACTGCTCTTAACTTAAACCATCATTTCAAGTTTAGGATGGCTTTCTATGATGTTTGTGGACAGCAGATGGTCTGCTGGAAGTGTGTTGCTTTTAATTACTATCTTCTTTTAAAAAGCATGTGAGCTGTCAATTATTTCAACGGTTTACCAATAAAAGTGTTGCAGGTGTGGTGGCTCAAGCCTGTAATCCCAGCACTTTGGGAGGCCTAGCCAGGTGGATCACTTGAGGTCAGGAGTTCAAGACCAGCCTGGCCAACATGGTAAAACCCCATCTGTACCTAAAAATACAAAAATAAACGGGGCATACTGTCACATGCCTGTAGTCCCAGCTACTCAGGAGTATGAGGCAGGAGGATCACTTGAACCCAGCAAGTGGAGGTTGCAGTGAGCTGAGATTGTGCCACTGCACTCCAGCCTGGGTGATGCAGTGAGGCTCTATCTCAAAAAGAAAAAATAATGATAATAATAATAAAAGTATATAGGAGAGAGAGTAGGGGTAACCCCACATTGTTTCAAACCTATAGTTTCCCTAAGGAAATTGAGAAAAAATGATTTGAAATGATTAATAGAAGCTAAACAGAAAGCTGTTTTCACCTTTCTTCACTCCTGCTGATTAATACTAGATATAAAGTCCAGGATTTTAAATGAAAACAAAACAATCCACTGAGACTTTGATGATCTTTATGACACAATTGACTTTCAGTACATTCCTGGTCATAAGATTAAAAAGAGTTCTTATTCTCAAGTCTAACTCTGTTTCTACTGAAGTTGATGGAAACATCTGCTTTCTTGAATCGAAGTATCTCCAACTTAATTTATAAAAAATGATGTTCCATAAGTTAGTCATGGAATTTATAAAGATATTCATCTCCTTGTACATTCTCAAGCTAATTATTACAACATTTTGATTGTTAGGATCTATATATTAGGAAAAAAATAAAACAAAATTCTGACTGAAAAATAGAAATATATTATTCTTACGTTAAGTTGATTGCATTTTAAAGTGCTTTTATCTATGATATCTACCAGATTAACACTTTACATGGATTTTTTTTTCTTTTCTTTTCTTTTTTTTTTTTTTAGACAGGGTCTCACTGTGTTGCCCAGGCCAGAGTGCTGTGACATGATCTCGGCTCACTGCAGTCTCAACCACCTGGGCTCAGGTGATTCTCCCACCTCAGCCTACCAGGTAGCTGGGACTAAAGACATGCACAAAAACCACATGATTATCTCAATAGATGCAGAAAAGGCCTTCAATAAAATTCAACATCCCTTCATGTTAAAAACTCTCAAAAACTAGGTATTGATGGAACTTATCTCAAAATAATAAGAGCTATTTATGACAAACACACAGCCAATATCATATTGAATGGGCAAAAACTAGAAGCATTCTCTTTGAAAACTGGTACAAGACAAGCATGCCCTCTCTCACCACTCCTACTCAACATTGTATTGGAAGTTCTGGCCAGGGCAATCAGGCAAGAAAAAGAAATAAGGGGTAGTCAAATAAGAAAGAAAGTCAAGTTGTCTCTGTTTGAAGATGACATGATTTTATATTTAGAAAACCCCATCATCTCAGTCCAAAAACTTCTTGAACTGATAAGCAACTTTAGCAAAGTCTCAGGATACAAAATCAATGTGCAAAAATCACAAGCATTCTTTTACACCAACAATAGGCAAGCAGAGAGCCAAATCATGAATTAATGCCCATTCACAATCACTGCAAAGATAATAAAATACCTAGGAATACAGCTAACAAGGGATGTGAAAGGCCTCTTTAAGGAGAACTACAAACCACTTATCAAGGAAATCAGAAAGGATCCAAACAAACGGAAAAAAAATCCATCCTCATGGATAGGAAGAATCAGTATCATGAAAATGGCTATACTGCCCAAAGTAATTTATAGATTCAATCCTATTCCCATCAAACTACCATTGACATTCTTCACAGAATTAGAACAAACTATTTTAAATTTCATATGGAATAAAAGAAGACCCCATATAGCCAAGACAATACTAGCCAAAAAGAACAAAGCTGGAGGCTTCACACTACATGACTTCAAACTGCACTTCAAGGCTACAGTAACCAAAAAAGCAAGGTGCTGGTACTAAAACAGGCACATAGACCAATGGAGCAGAACAGAGACCTCAGAAATAACACCACAAATCTACAACCATCGGATCTTCAACAAACCTGACAAAAAGAAGCAATGGGGTAAGGACCTTCTATTAATTAAATTATTCTGGGGAAACTGGCTAGCCATATGCAGAAAACTGAAAATGGTCCCTTTCCTTACACCTTATACAAAAATTAACTCAAGACGGATTAAAGACTCAAATGTAAAACCCAAAACCATAAAAACCCTAGAAGAAAACCTAGGCAATACCATTCAGGACACAGGCATGGGAAAAGACTCCATGACAAACGCAAAAATCAATTGCACCCAAAGCCAGAATTAACAAATGGAATCTAATTAAACTAAAGAGCTTCTGCACAGCAAAAGAAACTATCATCAGAGTGAACAGGCAATCTACAGAATGGGAGGAAATTTTTGCAATCTACCCTTCTGACAAAGGTCGAATATCCAGAATTTACCAGGAACTTAAACATATTTACAAGAAAAAACAAACAACCCCATCAAAGAGCGGGCAAAGGATGAGAACAAACACTTCTCAAAAGAAGACATTTACATGGCCAACAAACATATGAAAAGAGCTCAACATCACTGATAATCAGAGAAATGCAAATCAAAACCACAATGAGATAACATCTCATGCCAGTCAGAATGACGATTATTAAAAAGCTAGGCTGTGAAGAAATAGGAATGCTTTTACACTGTTGGTGGTAATGTAAATTAGTTCAACCATTGTGGAAGTCAGTATGGCAATTTGTCAAGGATCTAGAACCAGAAATACCATTTGACCCAACAATCCCATTACTGGTTATATACCCAAAGGAATATAAATCGTTCTACTATAAATACACATGCATATGTATGTTTATTGCAGCACTATTTACAATAGCAAAGACATGGAACCAACATAATGCCCATCAATGATAGACTGGATAAAAATATGTGGTACATTTAAATCATGGAATACTATGCAGCCATGAAAAAGGAATGAGATCATGTCCTTGCAGGGATATGGATGAAGCTGGAAGTCATCATCCTCAGCAAACTAACACAGGGACAGAAAATCAAACACTGCATGTTCTCAGTCATAAGTTGGAGTTGAACATTAAGAACACATGGACACTGGGAGGGGAACAACACACACCAGGGCCTATTGGGGGGTTGTGGGTGAGGAGAGGAAACTTAGAGGATGGGTCAATAGGTGCAGCAAACCACCATGACACACGTATGCCTATGTGACAACCCTGCACGTTCTGCACATGTATCCCGCTTTTTGGTTTTTTTTTAGAAGAAATAAAGAAAAAAATTATCAGGCAAAATATAATTCAAATGAAGTTTTAAGAAACATTATTACAAAAATGAATCATTATTATGATATCAGAAAGAACAATTAAATAATCTTCTAAAATTAAAGCATCAATATCAGTTTCTCAAGGAGAAGACCTTATGCAAATTTGAAATCAATATAAATATTTCCAAGTCTTTTGGAAAAGGGTGAGCCTAGTAAGAATCCAGTGAAAATTCAGTGTCAAGCTGAGTTTGTCTTTATAATTGAGAAAAATAACCCATGAATTGCAAAATGGGTCAAATTATTGTATATCTTACTACTGGATAAAAAAAAAGTAAAACAAATATCTGATATGTCAGAGATGCCACCCACACATTTTAAAACGTATAATTCTTTAAAAATCTAAATTTATTTTATTTATTTTTTCTCTTCCTACATTAACATTTTCCTAACCAAACATTTGATACAACAATTTTATCAGGCTGGGCATTGTGGCTCACGACTGTAGTCCTAGCACTTTGGGAGGCCAAAGCTGGGGGATCATTTGATGTCAGGAGTTTGAGACCAGCCTGGCCAACATGGTGAGACCCCATCTCTACTCAAAATACAAAAATTAGCTGAGTGTGTTGGTATGTGCCTGTAGTCCCAGCTACTTAGGGGGCTAAGGCAGGAGAATTGCTGGAATCTGAGAGGCAGAGGTTGCAGTGAGCCGAGATTCTGCCACTGCACTCCAGCCTGGATGACAGAGCGAGACTGTGTCTCAAAATAAGTAAGTAAGTAAGTAAGTAAATAAATAAATAAATAAATAAATAAATAAATAAAGTATGTGATTTATGAGCATTTTAATATTAATTTTACAGCCGAATACACACAAAATGGAAGAAATTAAAATGACTGCCTGAATTTTCTCTGGGAAAAAAAATCTCTTCAACAAAAATATAAATAAATCTTCCAACAAAATCAAGAAAAATAAAATTTACATGGGTGGAGAAAGATGGCTGAATGGAGGAGCCTGACATTCCTACCCCCATATAAAGGATCAAAACAACAATTAAACCAACACATTTGAATTGGAGTGTTTGAGAGTGATGGAGTACAGTGTTGGAACGATAAAATGCATAGAGGAAGGAGACCTTTAGGGAGGGTCTGAAGAAGAAAAGGAAACAGCCTGCCTCTGCCACATCTTATTCCCAGCCAGGTTCAACTCAGAGAAAGAAGGCACTTTCCCCAGGAGAGAAAAGGTAGGCAGGCAGGAGGCTCCCAGCAGCCCCGCCAACATTGCAAACACCTGCAGTCTTTGCTAATGGAGAACCCTGTAGTCCCCACAGGCACTGAGCTTAGTTTTGGGAGCTGCCTTGCACCCACACCTCTGCACTGTGCCAGAGAAGAAGCCCACACTGTGCCCCGCTCCTTACTCCATGACCCAAGCTGCACCTGTATGGTGTCATCTTGACACTGGAGTCACGGCTAAAGTGCATCCTGTTTCAGGAGCCAGTAGCCACTACATCTTTCCATTCCTGAGTCCATGCTACATTGACACCACATTCACGCATCATAGTGCACTCACTGAGCTGCCACAGCTTCCTATACCTAGAGAACAAGCTGTCTTGGAGGCGCTATGCCTTCCATATCCTAGAAACTGCAGACCCTAGCCTCTGGGATCATCGGTCCAGCAACCTGACGCTGGAGCCTGTGTTGACCCTGCCCCCAAGAATAAGCAGTCCTGCCCAGAGAAGTTGTGTCCAGAATGGGTGCATGCTCACTAGCCAGATATGTTACCCCCAAATCATTACGCTTATTTGATCATTACACAATGAATACACATATGGAAATGCACTTTATACCTTTATACAATTGTTTCAATTAAAGTTTTACAAAGGACAAATATGTGCTTTGGATTACTTAAATAAATTTAACATTTATATTATAGTCAGGAAAAAAAAAGAGAAATAAAAACAAAATAATTTTAGAACCGAGATTTTTTTCCCATAAGAAATCTCATGGAATCTAAATAGCACCTCAAATTCTTGATATGAGATACTATAAAGGTATTAGACATAAGAATAGAAGTTTCTTATTATATGTTCCTTAATGGGATAAAACATATTAATTATCTTTCTATTTTATGTTCAGAGAGAGTGAGGGACCAGTGATGCTGGTCAGGAAATGTGAAACATGGCAAGCAATTTTGCATAGATATCGTCATGGCATTCATAGTTAATGCCTAAAACTGAGAATTTGCAAGGCTGCTGATTGTTAGCAGCTTTTACAACGCTTTTGTGATGGGAGTGTTGTGAGAATACTGTACTGCAGAGTGAAAAGACAGTTGCCTCACACAAATTCTAAATCTAGTTTGTCACTGCCTCATTATATGCCTAATTCTGCTCCATTCCTATAGAACACATGGTGGGAAATACAGTATAGAAATATGGGTTCTGAAGAAAATAAACGTAAGATACTTTGACATCTAGATAGTATATAATGCAATCACATGTGATTGTACGATTTTTTAATAGAAATAAGATAATCTTTAAACTTAGTGACTAAGAATTCAATGCATATGTAAAATTACCTAAATTCCCATCAGAGTGTAGTATAGTCCCTGGCAGGATTGACTCAACATTTTATGATTATATGAAATAAAATGCAAAATCATGAGAGCCAAAAAAACCCCAATAGTTAAAACAGAATCAATTTCTTAATGCCAATAAGACTTCATTTAGGAAATTATCTCAGTTTCCCATCTATTAGTGTAGCAGATATTTCTAGTACTCAATTTTCTGTGCACCTGGATAGACTACATTTCTCAGCCCTCTTGGACTCTTGGAGTTAGTGGAACATATGTCCAGTATTCACCATTGGCTCGTAAGCAGAAGTGATCTGTGCCATTTGCAGCGCAAGGTATTTAACAGAAAAGTGTGAATTATCTATGCTGTCTATTCCTCATTAGTGGTGTCCAAGAATGCATATTTGAAATGGAGGAAGAACAAGGTAGAAGCAGCTGAACCATGGATGCATACATGGAAGGTGCCTGCCTAGAATGTTGCCAAACTCAGAAATACCCCTTTGCTGAATTGAGACACTGATATATCTTTTTGCAATATAACCTAGTCTACTTTGGTTAATCAAATGGATCAATTCCAAAAGATTTACTGCAGTCTCACAATTGTCTTGCACACTCTTGGGCCCCCATTGCACTGAGATTTAATATACTGCAACAAGTATTAATTTTGTTACTAAAATGATATTGTGCAAAGCATAACCATCACAAAGGGCATTCTTTATAAAGGACAATGCTTATGATGGAACATCCAGAACAAATTATAGTGATGACACAAGGTTGTTTTCAGGTCTGTTGCCATCCCAGTACTTACTGAGCTATAATGTCTTCCAAAACCTTGAAGAGCATATCCTTCTCCATTCTTACATCTATTACAATGGTTTCTGATCAGTCATCATGAAAAACATCTACAATAGCAGCAGACTAATATGATGATTTTAGTGATCCACAGTATAAAAATGCCATGGAATGTTCAATAGATAAACTGTCTAAAGGATCTGTCTGTTACAGGTTTTGAATCCATCAGTCTCTTCTCTGTGTTATTTGCTCAGCTCTTGAAATATTGTCAGCCATTACTTGTAGCATATCTGGCTTCATAGTCAGGAGCACTTCCATTCCTCGCCCTCATTGTTCAGTCTGTAAAGCACAGGGACCCTGATTTTTAGCCATTAGTAGAAAAGCACACACTTGACAGTAACAAGTATGCCTCCAGCGAGGCTATTTTCTCTCTGAAAAATCAAAAAGTTTGATATATAATTTAAAAGACTAAATTGTGGAAATATTTGGTGGTGAGACCATTTCCAAATTTCCTGAGTAATATATGCAGAGATTCTGCACAAGAAGAGCTGTCACTGAAGAAATGTGCCTCTTTTACAGGAAAATTAAGAAAAAGTTGGACTTGAACATTATTGCTATGTTTTGATTTTTTGAAGAGAGAATGCTCCTTTAAAAAAAGACTCAAGAGAAAGAAAAAGAAAGAGAGTTTTAGAAAAAAAAATTGTCATCATCATTTGTCCTCAGCTATGGGAAAATAAAACCAAAAGATAATCAGATGAGCCTTGTAACCAGATCTGGGGCCACCTGATGAGCCCTTAACCAGATTTTTCAGGATAAAACGTAAGGCTCATCTCAGCTAGTAAGTGTTCCTTGCCCATTTGGCATGAAAACAATCCTTGCTTTCAAAACAGAAATTTCCATCCTTAGAATAAAAAGCACATTTTTGGCCGGGCGCGGTGGCTCACGCCTGTAATCCTAGCACTTTGGGAGGCCGAGATGGGCAGATCACGAGGTCAGGAGATCGAAACCATCCTGACTAACATGGTGAAACCCCATCTCTACTAAAAATACAAAAAATTAGCCAGGCATGGTGGCGGGCGCCTGTAGTCCCAGCTACTCGGGAGGCTGAGGCAGGAGAATGGCGTGAACCCGGGAGGCAGAGGTTGCAGTGAGGTTGAGATCGCGCCACTGCACTCCAGCCTGGGGGACAGAGGGAGACTCCATCTCAAAATAAGTAAATAAATAAGCACATTTGTTTATTCTCCCAATAGGAAGGAGAATAAAGAGATGTCATAACTCTGTGACCTTGCTGTAAACTTAGCAGCCAGCACTGCTCCGTGAAGATGGGAAGGCAGTCAACGAAATTGAAATATAGGCTACTAGCATGAACCTATTTGTAGGTAAGTTCTTATCTTGTGACTCAATTGATGATATGAGACAATCAATCATTGCTGGACAAAGCAAACATGGTGTTCTAAATAGGGTACCTGTTGCAATTATTCATGTGTTAGGATGTGTTTCTTCTGTTTAGGTTAAACCATCTAACTACTGGGTAGGAGCTTGGGAAACGGTCTAGTTTCAAAAGAATGCCCTGGCAAAGATCAGACAGGGTACCAAAAATGGTTGAACTGAAGTGGATGGCTTTAATTTTCACAGAAAGTGAATGAGTTAGAAAATTAAGCAAAACTTTGATAAGAAGGAAGATATAAAACATTAATCTAACAACATTGGATATATAGATCTTTGAAATCATAATTTAAATCCAAACATTCCACAACTGTAGACAAAATCCTTAAAGTATTCCTCAGAATTAATTCAAGATTAATTCTGGGTAGGTAAGTATTGAGTATGTAATGAAAAGACTTTAATACTTGGAACAATCAATGAATCAATGATTCAATCAAACAAGGCTTTAAAAAATCTAGGTCATAGAAACTAATGTGTGAAGTAGACATGACTATTTAAGCAAAGCACATCCCAGAACCTTGGATAACATGACATTTCTAACTAAAATATACTAGAGAAGCTTTGGGTTTTTAAAAATAGCACAGTGGAATTCAGGTAAATTTTCTCAACTTCAAAGCTATGCCAGGAAACTAGTGAGAGAAACCCACAAAGCTAGACTTATGCTATGACTCAGCTTTCATTGTATTCATGATTTGATTATTAATAATAGTTTTTTAATATCATGGTTTATTCTAAAATAGATTTTAAGGTGACTTGTTAAAACATATAAAAGAAAACGGCTTATCTTAAATCTAGGAGCAGATAAGGGTTAGAACACATCAGCCTACAAAATTTTAGGTATACATCTAGGCACAGTCAGTAGGTGAATGTTTTGTGTCTTAGCTCTAGGCTTTCTGGCAAGCATATCAGAAATTTTATAATTCATGCAATTCACCATATTTATAAGATGAAAATAAAACTATCTGCCCTGTAGCATTATACTTTTTAAAACTAGGAGTCAGAAGGAATTTCTCACAAGAATCTTCAAGCAGACATGAATAATGTAAGAAAAATTGTGCTCAAAAGACTTGATAAGAAATGAGTTGATGAATATTAAATCTGAAGTGTCTTTATTCTGTAGAGGACTATTGTTAATAATAAGAAGTGATAAAATTCAAACAAAATTGGTATGACCTCAAACAAGTAGAGTGCATTTGATTCTGTCCTGTCCTCTCTTTTTCACCTGAAGATCTGACATTAGTTCTTAGGGATAATTAAAAGGTGGAAGATTAAACTTTCCTAATTCTCTTGTTTGAGCCCCAAACAATGGGTTTCCTCTGATTGAAAATCCTTAGCTTTATTGACAGTTAAAATATATGTAACTGAAATCTTTAAAGAACAATGACAAATGCTAACCTTAGTTGGTATTGTATTATATTACAAAATCATAAAGAGTGTTTGGGCAATGATGCAAATTGCATGGTTTTAAAGCTTTTGCACTGCTTGGAGAATTATTTATAAAAATATATACAAAAATCTCATTTTTCAAAGTTAAAAAAATCTTGAGCATATGGATACATCACTGTGGCCCACGCTGTGTCCTTTCGAATGGAAATCTGGTTTACACAAGTCAACACTATGAAATCAATAAACACCAAGTAGCCTTTGCCTCCTCTATTTCCCCAGGAATCCATGAGGCCACAGCTTTTGCAAAGACTACCTCTGACTCTTCTAATGGTGAATGTTTCACAGGATTCTCTCCTAGCATATCTCTCTTAAAACATATAAAAGAAAATTGATTATCTGAAATCTAAAAGCAGAAGATAGGCAAATAAGGGTTAGGACAGATCAGACTACAAAATGTTATGTATAGATCTAGGCACATTCAGTAGGTCAAGGATTTGTATCTTAGCTTTAGGTAAGCTAAGCTCTAGATAACCTATCAATGATACCCTTAACACTAGTTGAGGATCTTCTTAACTAGTGATACCCTTAACACTAGTTAAGGGTATTATTGATTCCACAGACTTTTTGCAAAATTGACTTCAAAATTGACTCCAAAATTTACTTAAGCTTCCCTAACCATCACCGGAAATTTATGTTTTCTTAGAAAGAAAAACAAAAGGAAGAAAGATGAAGGAAAGAAAGAAAGAGAGAGAGAGAAAGGAAGGAAGGAAGGAAGGAAGAGAAGGAAGGAAGGAAGCAAAGAAAGAAAGAAAGAAAGAAAGAAAGAAAGAAAGAAAGAAAGAAAGAAAGAAAGGAAGAAAGAAAGAAAGGAAAAAATATCAAAGAGTGACTGCTAAGCATTATGCTCAAGTAGATCATTAAGTCTCTTACGTCTCACCTGAGTCATCTGTCTTCTTTTACATTATTGCAAGAGATGGAACATTAAAAACTTGCCAAGTTGAGAAGGCTCTATTCAAAAATTGTTCTAGGCTTTTGTGTAATGTGAGGCTAGAGAATAGAATTGACCTGTCTCAATGAACATATAAATCCCAAACTGGGTATTCTAAATGCTAACTGTATCTACTCAAAATCTGGAAATAAAAACATTACTAACCTCTCACTAGAAAAGTCATGAAATTATAAGAAAAATACTCTGTTTCACTCCCCACACCAAAGTTGGGTCGGCTTCAAGGTTATGCAAATTGAGTGGCCCATTTTAATAAAAAAACTATAAAATAAAATATGAAAGTGACTGTATGTTAGTATAAGAAAATAAATAACAATGTGTTATAAACTCACAAATTTACAAGCTACAAAATAGCATGTTTTTATTAATTAACCCCAAAATAATTTTTGGCATTTGGCTATATATTCTGATCATGTTCTAATATAAAATATTTTATGTGTTTTTTAAAAAGAGAAAAAATTTTCAGTCTTTCCTCTAGTATAGTTGATATATTCTTATTACTATTACTAATGGTTTAGAAAAGTATTTTTGAAAATCAATGAATTTTTAATGTCATATAACTTTTTAGAAATGTTTTCAAATGTGAGGAAAATTCTATCAAATATTTTTGATATATGAACTATAAGATTTCAGGTCATTTCAAAATTTTTTCTTCAGTGACTGATCTTAAGTATTAACTATGGTGTCTTTAATATATTTATGGAAATAGCACTTTATTTATTTTATGTTTACTTCATTGGTATTATATTTCAAATGAACAAGAAATGTCCATTTTCAAGATATGTACTTATGATTTTTTCCTTAAATGGATTAGCAAGAGCTAAGACCTTATACATGAATTCTTCTTAAAACTTACCTCTTTCTCTTAATGCATTACTACATTTAATATTACCTGAAAATGTTGGCTACAATTCTTAATATTAAAATGTTTCTCTTGATTTAATAACATATTTATTACTATTTCCTCACTTTCCACTTATTTTTTAATCTAAATTTTTTTCTCAGTTCTTCAAAAAGCAAATATTTACCCAACAAAAAGGAAAACCTCCGTAAGTTTCCAAATCAGGCATCTATTATTTCCCATGTGTTTCATTAAAACATTCTGAAATGTCTTTCAAATTGCAATTGAATGACATTTTTGAGCCACATAAACTTTTTGGATAAAATTTAGCATTTTATTTGTGTTTAGATTCCACTTCTGAGATTTTGAAAACATGTTTTAGAATGCTTAAAACGATTTTATACCCATATTGCAAAGTATGAACAGCTTTAAAAGTGGGCAGATGATCTCATTACACTTTAAAAAAAATCCAGATTGGCAGCTAGCTGAACTTGAAATAAGAATATATAAGAAACTGCAAGGTAGTAAAATCTGACAAATTTAGGTAGTGTGGAGGTAGCCTTTTCCCTGATTAGATTCAGAGCTGTATAAGCACATATTATACAAATCCTTGGTGTCATGACTTTATGTGAGTCAGAAGTCCAGGCCATAGAAGAATTTCTGGAAGACATCACAACATCAGGAATATAGGCAACAACTTAAAAATATATAGATGTTACTCTGAACATGAACATATTAAACTAAATTCTAATTAAATGTATCCCAAATCATCTTTCCATAGCTGGATCTCAGAAATAACTGTAGCCATTTCAAAATCACCCACAAGAGGGAAAGCATGCAAGCTAGAAGCGGCAGTCTTAAACAATTGTGGTTAAAATACTTTAAAGTTGCATGTTTTAATAAAATGTGACCACAATGCTAGGATCATTTAGCTTCATAATAAATCTGCTGCAGGAGGTGAGGGGTCAAGAAAAATAAGACATATAAAAATGAGAGAAATCTCATAAGCTCATAAGCAGGAGACTGAAATTAATGTTGTCAAAAATGAATATATTTAAACAATATTTTGAGTTTTAATTAAAGATAATTAAAGTAACCCATGAATAGTCTCTAGATTTTTTTTGTATTCTGAGAAATTTCTACTATGGTGTGTAAAATTATTCCACATTAGCCATAAGCCTAAATTTAGCAGCCATGAGTATGTGTATTAGAGTTCAATTGTTGTTCTGAATTAATTTTCTAAAACTGTGTAACAAATAACCACAAGACTTGGTGTCCTAAAGTAACACACATGTATTTTCCCACAGTTTATGTGAGTCAGGAATCCAGGCACAGCTTAGCTGGGTCCTTTGCTCAGGTTCACACATGGTTGCAATTATGTTTTCAGCTGGGCTGCACCCTCATCTGGAGGCTCACCTGGAAAATAATCTGTTTCCAGACTCACACAGCTTGCTGGCAAAATTTATTTTCTTGTCTCTGTATGGCTGTGGCTCTCAGTTCCTAAATGTCAACTGAGGTTCCTTGACACGTGGCCCTCCCCATAAGCTATTCATAGCCTACAGGATATTTCTTCAAGGCCAGCAGGAGACTCTCTCTATCTCTATTCTGCCACCACAGAGTCTTGTATAATTAAGACTTAATTGTGGCATAATATCCCATCACTTTTGCCATATTGTATTGTTGGAAGGAGGTCAGATTTTCACCTACACTCAAGAGGAGAGGATTTTACCAGGAGAAAGAAATGTCAGGGGTTGTCTTAGAACTCTCCCTGCTACATTGTAGAAACTATTGATTCACAATGATTTCATACATTTTTAAAAATTGCCTAATAGTTACAGGCATCATACAGCTACCTAGTGACATCAGGTAAAATCTAATTAAGTTTGAATGGGGAAAAAATCAAATTTAAGGAACATTTGACATCTGTTTGTAAAAATGGAGAATCTTCATGGGGAGAGAGAATCTGAAAAGCTCATCCCATATTTTCTTATTTTGATTGTAATAAAAAAGCTTATTTGTACTTATTGATTTTACTTTTATAGGACATACATAAGTGTGTAATGTTCAATCTGAGCAACTTGACCAGGGTAAGTTAATATTTGAAGGAAAAATATTATTGATTCTTTTACCAAGAGAGAGAACCTGCAAATAAATATTAAGTTCAAGGGTCTGTAATACTACATTACCATGTTCCGTGAAGGAATCAAAATCTAATGAGAAAATAGAGTTTCTATGTTTGTATTTTTTTCTACATAATAAATGCAAAGAGTCATGTGGAAACAAAGCTAACTGAACAAGTAATTATTCTCATGTGTCCTGGAGTTTTGCAAGAGGAGGCAGTATTTAGACTGAATTGTTAGAATTGGACAAAATGGAGAAAAGGGTGACGGGGAGTACCATAGAAAAAGGAATCGGTGTGTGCAAAAGCGGGTAGGTTGAAAGACAATATTTAACTTGAGTAATACTGAAGATAGGTTTGTGTTTAAGATTCAGAGGAGAAGTGTGATAGATTTGTTAAACTAGATTAGGGGCAGTTCAAGAAAAAGCATGCATTTCCAGTTATAGAGTAGGATTGCATTCTTCAGGCAATGGGGGTTTATTTTAAGTTGTGGTTGGATACTATCTATATGCTAAAAAGGCAATTAATTGGCACAGGAAGAATATTTTAGGAGGTATGAATTTGCAATTAAGGAGAAAATAAAAAGCAATAGATATGTTTTTGTCTGGAGAAAGTTGATTAAACAAACAAAGAAAAAATTGCCATTGCCTGATATCAGAGGAATTCCTGGATGATATTAGATGATTTGGTGAATAAATGTAAATAGCTTAAAAGCAGACAGTGAAGTTATAACCAGGAAGATTGAAAGGGAAGGGAGAAAAAGTTTCCTGCATGTAAAGGATACTGAACCTAATAAGTGTGTATTTGTTGCCATGCCTATGCATAGCCATGTCTAACAAATTGAGTACTGGAATTTCCATTAGTTACCATTAAGAATTTTAAGCCAAGTTCTCTTGGATTTCTGTGTTGCATCTACATTGGTGGCCAGGAATAATATATGTAATGAGCTCAGTTCACAGATAAGAAGGGATTAAAAAAATTCAAAGTCAATTGGAATGAAGAGGAAGAATAGGTGTGAATAATATTTAGCTGAAAGATAATTGCTTGACTGTGAGGAGAAAAAGGGAAGCATTGAAGATTTCCTTTGTTCTTTTGGTTTGAGCAAATGAGGGATGGTGATGTCACCAAGAGAGAGAGCTGTGATGTCAATAACAGAGACAGCTTGTACAAAAGAGGACAAGCAAATGTGGCAGACACTTGCTAATATTTACAAGAATATATTTAAAAGTCTGGAATCAAAAGAGACAACTACCAGTTGGACATTGGTGGAAAAACTAGATACAATGTTATGGCTTAAAGTGGGCTTCTTAGAATTACAAGTAAGCTATTTTTCGCATTTTATTCAATTACTTGGAAAAAATACCTCTGTCAGGGTGAAAACATTATTTTGTAAAATAACTTGCACTGTTTTCACATTCTTATTGAGCAAAATGAGGAAAAATCAGTGGGAATAATTACATGCAAGTGGAAGAGAATATTGAACCATCTATGAAAACTCAGTTCAGTTTCTCAAGTTATGAACACAATTCTCTACGACAAATATTTTAACAAATAAATGCATCCTTTTAAATCTAAGTATGCTGGAGACTATATGATATAGTCTGGTTTGGCTACCTATTTGTTGCATAACAAACCACCACGAAATTTAGTGTTTAAATCAGGGGATGGCAAACTCCAATTCGTGGGCCAAACCTTGCTTGCAGTTTGTTTATGTACCACCATGTGTGAAGAGTGGCCTTTAGATTTTTAAAGGCTCGTTAAAACAAAACAAAACAAAAACAATAAAGAAATATACAACAGTGATCACATGTGGTCCACATAGAACCCTTTATAGAAATGTGTGCTGATCCCTGGCCTAAAATATTTACACTCATTTGTTTCATAATTTTGCAAATTAAGCAGGGCTTGCCAGGGATACTTCCTCACTGCCTCATATGGTTTTGGCTGGAGTAGGTAAAGCAGGGCTGGAAGGTCCAAAATGGCCTCAGTCACATGATTTGCAGTTGGTTGTTGATGTTGGCTTGGGAGCTCAGCTGAAGATGCCAGCTGGAAGGGCTGGTGACTGGGAATTTAATGGGAGTGAGCAGTTTCCAAGGGCTTGTATATCTGGATTCCTCAGTTTCTATGGGCTTTCCAAACCTCTTCATGTTGCATAAAAAGAAGCATTTCAAGAGAGGTGAAAGCAGAAGATTCCTTAAGGCCTAGCCTTGGAATTTAAAGAGCATCACTTTGGATATGTTCTGCTGATTGAAGGCCATTAGATTACCAGGCAGCCTCAAAGGGAGGGGAAATACAACACACCTTTTATGGGAGAAATGGCAAATGCTTTTCCTTTTTAATTCAACAGTCCTCAGAATTAAGCTATGATTGTAACTCTAAGTAAAACAGAAGAACTTCACACAATTTAACAATGAATGTAATTCAACTTTGTTGAAAAGATTTAAAATATATTTGGGTAATGTGAACTTTATGGTGTTCTGTATTTCTAGAGTCTCAAGCCTTCTTTTCTCTCTCTTTTTTTTTTTTTTTGGTTTGGTTCTAAACAAAGAGTAAAAGTTAGCCCCCCAGTACATGTACTTTGCATTTACAAAATAGCTCACTTCAACCACTTCTCTATTTATTCATTAATTATTATTAAATCTAATGGAAAAAATAAATTACAATATTTGGAATTATAAGTTTATATTAACATAGTAAATAGGTATTTCTGTCAAGATTGACAGTAACTTATTTGGGAGTTTAAAGTCTCAAAGAGTACATGATATTAGCTCAGGAATAGATACAGAGTGAAAATAGAAGTTAAAAGAAAAAAATATTGTTTTGTACTACAGGTGACAGAGTATAGCATGTGAGAGAAAATTAATACATACTAATAACCTGGTAAAAATTAAAGTATTAAAATTCAAACATCTTTGCTAAATGCCTTTAGCAAATATATATCTTTATTGACATTTTTGCTTTTCTTTAAACATTTAAATATAATTTTTCTATCCCTTTATAGTAGTGGTGATAAATTAATGAAATGAACATTTGAATATATATACACTCACACACAAACATATATATTTATGCTTATTACAGAAAATCATTAAGAACAAGATGATATGGTTTGTCTCTGTGTCCCCACCCAAATCTCATCTTGAATTGTAGTTCCCATAATCCCCACATGTTGTGGGAGGGACCCAGTGGAAGGTAATTGAATCATGGAGGCAGTTACATCCATCATGCTGTACTCATCATAGTGAGTAAGTTCTCATGAGATCTGATGGTTTTATAAGGGGCTCCCCTGTCCCCTTGCTCTGTAGTTTTTACTGCTGCCGCCATGTTAAGAAGGATGTTTGCTTCCTCTTCCACCATGACTGTAAATTTCCTGAGACCTCCCCAACCATGCTGAACTGTGAGTCAATTAAATCTCTTTTTTTCATAAATTACTCAGTCTCAGAAATGCCTCTATTAGCAGCATGAGAAGAAACAAAAACAGTAAACTGGTGCCAGGTAGTGAGGTGCTGCTGTAAAGATACATGAAAATGTGAAAGCAACTTTTTTGGAACAGATAACAGGCAGAAGCTAGAACAGTTTGGAGGGCTCAAAAGAAGACAGGGAAATGTGGGAAAGTTTGCAACTTCCTAGAAAGATGTTGAATGGCTTTGACAGAAATGATGATAGTGAAATGGACAATAAGGTCCAACTGAGGTGGTCTCAGATGGAGATGAGAAACTTGTTAGGAACTGGAGCAAAGGTCACTCTTGCTATGCAAAGAGACTGTCAGCATTTTGCCTCTGCCCTACAGATCTGCAGAACTTTGACTTTGAGAGAGATGATTTAGGGTATCTAGCAGAAAAAGTTTCTACGTGGCAAAATGTTCAAGAGGAAACAGCGAATAAAAGTTTAGAAACTTTGCAGCCTGACTATGTGAAAGAAAAGAAAACTACATTTTCTGGGGAGAAATTAAAGCCGGCTGCAGAAATTTGCCTAAGTAACAAGAAGCTGAATGGTAATCACAAAGACGATGGAGAAAATGTCTCCAGGGCATGTCAGAGACCTTCACGGCAGCCCCTCCCATCACTGGCCTGAAGACTTAAGAGGAAAAAATAGTTTCCCGGGACCCCTCTGCTGTGTGCAGCCTAGGGACTTGGTGCCCTGTGTCCCCGCTGCTCCAGTCTTGACTAAAAGGGATGAAAGTACAGCTCGGGCCATGGCTTCAGAGAATGCAAGCCCCAAGCCTTGGCAGCTTCCATATGGTGTTGAGCCTGAGGGTGCACAGAAGTCAAGAATTGAGGTTTGGGAACCTCCACCTAGATTTCAGAGTGTGTATGGAAAGGCCTGGAAGTCCAGGCAGAAATTTGCTGCAGGGGTAGGGCCCTCATGGAGAACCTGTGCTAGGGCAGTGTGAAAGGGAAATGTGGGGTTGGAGCCGCACAAAGAGTCTCCACTGGGGCACTGCCTACTGGAACAATAAGAAGAGGGCCACTATTATCCAGACTCCAGAGTGGTAGATCCACCAACAGCTTGTGTCATGTGCCTGGAAAAGCTGCAGACACTCAGTGCCAGCCCATGAAAGCAGCCAGGAGGAGAGTTGTACCCTGCAAAGTCAAGTCACAGGGGCAGAGATGCCCAAGGCCATGGGAGCCCACCTCTTGGATCAACGTGACCTGGATGTGAGACATGAAGTCAAAGGAAATCATTTTGAAACTTTAAGGTGTAATGACTGTCCTATTGGATTTCAAACTTACATGGGGCCTTTAGCCCTTTTGTTTTGGACAATATCTTCCATTTTGAACGGATGTATTTACCCAATGTCTGTACTCCCATTGTACCTAGGTGGTAACTAACTTGCTTTTGATTTTACAGGCTCTTGGTGGAAGGGACTTGTCTTGTCTCAGATGAGACTTCAGACTTGGACTTTTGAGTTAATGCAGGAATGAGTTAAGACTTTGGGGTACAGTTGAGAAGGCATGATTGTGTTTTGAAATGTGAGGACATGAGATTTGGGAGAGGTCAGGGGTAGAATGATATGGTTTGGCTTTGTGTCCCCACCCAAACTCATCTTGAATTGTAGCTCCCATAATCCCCATGTGTCGTTGGAGGGACCCAGTGGGAGGTAACTGAATCATGTGTGTAGTTACCTCCATCCTATTCTGGTGATAGTGAGTGAGTTCTCATGAGATCTGAGGGTTTTATAAGGGGCTTCTCCCTGCTTCACTCTGCACCTCTCTTTGCTGCCGCCATGTGGAGAAGGACATGTTTGCTTTCTCTTCCGCCATGATTGTAAGTTACCTGAGGCCTCCCCAGTCACGCTGAACCATGAGTCAATTAAACCTTTTTTCTTTATTAATCACCCAGGGGTCTCTCTCTTTATTTACAGCATGAAACCAAACAAATACACATGGTAAGTTATTTTTGTCTTTGTCCCAAAAATTATCTTTGTGCTAGACAGTAAAAATTGCTGTTATTTAATCAGGATGACTTGTTCTGATAAAATGACCAGATTTACATTTGTGTGAAGTCATAATTTTCTATGGGAAATAGAATTTATTTTTGAGTAACATAATTTACTTTAAAGCATACATTGCAAACATATGAACAGAGAGAGAGAGAGATATGTTTGTGTAGTGTGTATTCCTAGGCAGACATACGTAAAACCTATGTATAAAAATTAAATGTGCAGATCACGAGGTCAGGAGATCAGGACCATTCTGGCCAACACAGTGAAACCTGTCTCTACTAAAAATACAAAAAATTAGCTGGGCGTGGTGGTGGGCACCTGTAGTCCCAGCTACTTGGGAGGCTGAGGCAGGAGAATAGCATGAACCCAGCAAGTGGATCTTGCAGTGAACCGAGATGTGCCACTGCACTCCAGCCTGGGCAACAGAGCAAGACTCCGTCTCAGAAAAAAAAAAAAAATTAAATGTGGGCTGGCCGCAGTGGCTCACGCCTGAAATCCCAGCAATTTTGGAAGCTGAGGCGGCCAGATCACCTGAGGTCAGGAGTTCAAGACCAGCCTGAGCAATATGACAAAACCCCATCTCTACTAAAAATACAAAAATTAGCCGGGCTTGCTGGCATTTGCCTGTAATCCCAGCTACTCAGGAGGCTGTGACAGGAGAATCACTGGAACCCAGGAAGCAGAGGTTGCAGTGAACCAAGATCATGCCATTGCACCCCAGCCTGGGCAACAAGAGTGAAACTCCATCTCAAAAAGATAAATAAATAAAAATAAATGTTACATGAATAATACTAATATATTTCTTATTACAATTTAATAGAGAAAAATTACTAATTTGTGAACTAACTTGTTATCTTGCAATGGTTTCATGATTGCTGGCAGAAGATTCGAGTCCTATGTCAAAAACAAAGGACTTTATTACTACATAAGAACAGGCAATGCAAGCTTCACATTCATGCTTATTCTCCATGCACCACAAATCCCAGGGAAGCAATGCAGGTGGGCCTATACAGATGCTGTAAATATGGATTTACATCACCCTGAGGAACCCTGAGCTTAGGAAACACTAAACTTTCATAATGAGATGCCCAAAAATCTGCCCAAACTTTGCCCAGAAGGAAGATATTATCTTGATTAAACTTGAATACACCAGCACCCTGTTCTGGAACATCATTGTCTTACAATGCTATTTGTTATACAAATATTTGTGGATAGATAGTGCAAGAAAAGGCTATCAATACCTACTAACATTATGTGCTGAAATGCAAAAGGTTCATAGAGAATTGTCCCCCAACATAGATTATAGTCCTCTTACTCTTCGGTTTAATACATGAAACATGGGTTTATGCATAAAGATACATTGAAACATGAGGATTTGATGGAGAGTAAACAGCAGTAAAACTCATAATTTTTAAAAACTACCCTAGATATTGAGCTTTTCATATTAGATGTATATGTTGGCCTGGTTATCAGGGAAATGTGATTTTGAAATATCAATTTTCATACTCTACTACTAAAAAGAAAATGCTTCCCTTGTTGGTGCAATAGCTTTGAAATTCAATGGAATTTTTGTTGTATTTTGTGGGTTCATGTGCTGGAAGTATTTTGACTGTGAATATTTGATTTGGAATCTCCTTATGGAAATTAGATTGTCAATAATAATGTGATATATTATAAATTATTTTCAATTAAACCCAACTGGACACATAGACCTATTGAACTGTTGATTCGTGAATAAACATATACATTTCTTATACTTTGTTTCAATCTACCTGTGGAATATATAATGGAGCAAAAAAAAATTAAAGGCCTAGATAGTGTTTATCTAATGCTTATCTTATCGTACATCTTTTAAAATTAGTGTGACCATATAATTTGCTAAACAAACCAAATCATTTTGAGAATCTAAGAGGATGCTATTAATTATTACACCATGACAGGCATAAATTGAGATTCTATTAGACAGACAAGAATGTATAGTCACACTACTTATAACCAAATTATATCACCATCAATAAGATTTGATTTTCTTCTAAAGGATCTCATACAGACTTTTTATCTCAATGAGGGCTATGTTCTTACTAGAGGAATTTTTAAGTGATAGACATTTTAAAGGCAATACCATATCAGTATATATTAGAGTATCAGGCTGATTCAGTGTTTCTTATTTCTGTCTTTCCAAGTTCCCTTGAATTCTGTTTTAATATTCATTGCATAAACCATAAAGTTCTAAATGTGCGTATTCTGTGTCAAGCACTGTGTTATGAATTTCCTATCAATTATGTTATTTAGTCTTTACTCCACTCTGTGATACATGTTTCACTATTATCACCATTTTATAGCTGAAGAAATGAAGTCAAAGGAGACTAAGTGATGTGTGCAAAGTCCTGTGACCTATATGGGGTGGGCCAGGTTTTGAACCCAGTCAGTCTTACTCTACAATTTGTGTTTTTAGCAGTGTTAAGGCAAACTAAATATGACCTGAGAAGGACACTGTACTTTTATATTTGAGTCCTTATGGACAAACAGCAACCCAACTTAATAGGTAGACAAGATTGAAACCCTAACTTAGGAGTATGTGCCTGTAACAATACCGGAATCTTGGCTAATCCAAGCAGCCATATTTCAACTAGTCATACACTGCTGAGTGTTCAAACTGTGTTCAAGTAAGGCAAATGCCAAGCTGTAACCAACCCAGCTGTTTCTGTACCTCACCTCTGATTTATTTACGTCACTTCTCTTTTTTAGTCTATAAATTTGTTCTGACCATGAGGCATCCTTAGAGTGTCTCTTAATCTGCCAGAATTCTGGGGGTTGCCAGATTTACAAATCATTCATTGCTCAATTAAATTTTTTAGAATTTAATTCAGCTGAGGTTTTTCCTTCAACAGCAGCTATACTATTTTTTGATGTATATATTACCTTACTAACAATAGGTCAACCTTGTTATTCAGTTATGTGTTTAATTTGAGATGGATAATCCCCAGGGCAAACAATATGTAAATATATATGATAATAGAAACTAAGAATATCTATTTACTTTCACTAGATGGAGGGGAAATAGTTGTACAATTAAGTTTTTCAATTTGCACAAATCAAGAAATGATAAGGATGACCTGAATCCATGAATATTGATAAGCCACAGGGAGCTGGAATAATTAAATGATTTGATTCTTTACTCTGCATAGTATCCTCAGATTACAGATCTCCTGACTTAAGTTTATCAGCTGAACTACATTTTGATAGTAAATGTAGAAAATTTATCCAGTTATGAATAAAGAAATTCTACCACTGGGAAAGATAAAAGTGAAATTCTCTTGGAATCACCCACAAGCTTTCTGCCCTCTCTATTATACTGATTTATTCCTTAACCTCTCTTCTCAGAGACCATAAAATGAAGATGTGAACTTACAAAACTGAGTCAGCTAAAGGATAATTTTATGTATATATCTCCCTGCTCATTAGGGAAATGACTAGAGAAATAGTCTTTAATTCAGCCTTCAAACGCTTGAGAAAAAATTTCAACAAAGTCCAGTCCAGATGGTCTAATAGTCTATGATAAGAATAACAACATAGGCATCAATGAAAAAGAAAAGAAAAAAAAACCCTTTTACTATAAAGACATCCAACCAGAGGGATAAAGAGGAAGATTCTTCTTTATGGTTTCTAAATAAGGTCTGTTCAAATTAGTTTCATGAAGAATGCATGCTGCTTTATTGTTTGCCAAAAAATAAGGTGAGATCCAGTAATTTGAGCATCCAAAATGTTCAATTATATTAGGCTTAGAGAATGATAAAGGAAAAGATATGAGCTGCCTCTCCTGCAAGGTACATGCTACTATTGGCTCCATAACTGGACATTTCTACAGAAACCAAGATGATAACCTAAACTTACAATATTGTGATTCTGACATAAGAAACTACCAAGATTACCAAGACTTAGCGACTAAGTCTATTCAAACACCTGTAGATCCAATGAGACTGACCTCACTTCAACATCTCTATTAGTACAAACACATGAGCAACCAGAATAAGATTAGAACAAGCATGACTGTAATACAGCTTGTACTTAGTCTTATCAAAGATACTTCTGTTACTATTATCCTTCAAGCCAGATGCCCACTTTTATTTCCCTTAGCAGTCCATAACCCAAACTGATCTGCCCCACTCTCTTTTTCCCATGGCCTTTATTAGGTATAAACATAGCATTTAAAAGTGACAGTTTTGTCTATCATTTCCATTCAAAACCTCATCTGAGCCATGGATAGAGCTTGTAGATATAAAGGTGATGATGGCAGAGTACCCACACTACAATTTTGCATATTATGTGATGTAATAATACTCTGCATAGGATTTCTTACAAGAGATAATGCTTAAAAATGTTTGAAAACAATGTTGAATTATTTGTACAGAAATTAGGAAACTGTGCTTTATTGAAATGTACTAGCCTATGTAAGGTACAAATGCATGACACTGAAATGTAAGTTTCACAATATAGTAGCAATCTATTTTATTTACTGAAGTGTCTCAAGCATAGACAATTATCGGATGTGCAATACGCATTCAATGAATATGTGTCAGACGAGTGACAGAATATGATGAATTTTAGCAACTGCAATTAATTTGATACTGCTGAAAGGGGATACCAGATGTTAAAGCTGATTCTGCAGTGCTCAGGCAGCAGTACAATAATAGAAGGCAGGATGTGATGATGTGCAAATGTCTGGGGCTATGCTTCATTGGTAGTTGTCTCTCTCTGACTTGGCAAATGGATGTGGCTCTGTAGAGGAGAGGTGGAAAGTTCAAGGCAAGGAAAATAAGACAAAGAAAAAACTTTCACTGTTTTCTGATTTCTCAGAACTGGGAACTTTTCAGGGTCTTCAATGCTCTGCGAAGTTGTTTGAGCTCAGAATAACTGAGTAAGAAACCAGGCCACTTCTGATTTTAATTCTATTATATTGTCTGCCTTTTCATTATTGAGATTACAGGGAGAAATGGATCTGTAGGGCACTTCATTATTTAGACCTGTTTTTTTAAATTTCTAATTTAAGCAAAGAAGTTTCGAATGTACAATAGCAAGGTATGTATATTTATTCATAAATTGATGAAAAGCCATGGAATATTTTTAAGCAGAAGACTGATGGTCCATTTTTACTTTTATTTATTTATTTTTCTTATTTTGTTTTTGTACAGATAGGTTCTCATTATGTTGCCCAGGCTGATCTCAAACTCCTGGGCTCATGTAATCCTCCTGCCTCAGCCTCCCAAAATGCTAGGAATACAGGAGTGAGATACCATGCTTGGCCAGTATGGTGTATTTTATATTTTAGGGCAGTGAATGAAAAAACTGAGTAAAGAAAGGATTGAGGAGAATCAATCAACATACAACAAATAGAGAGAAGTTCATTCATATGCCCATTAGCTCCCTCTTGAACAAAGTGCATTGAACAACAGACATGTTTGAGAATCTATGCTAGCCACAGGGATACAATTATGAACAATAAAACTTAGTCTATGTCTTTAAAGGTCTACAGTTGAGAAAGGCAGAGAGATAGTGAACTAGTGAGATTAAGTCTGATGAATGCTAAAAACAAATGGAAACAAAGAGTTCACTGAGAACATGACACAATAACTCGACCTATCTAAATACACAAAAGATGAACACAGTGAGATTTAAGTATAGGTAGAAATAAATCAGGTAGAAGTGAAAAAGAATGTCCCAGTGTCTTTTTTTGTCTACAGAACAAGAAAAGAACATAAGGAGATAAATAAGCGGCATCCACAGAAGCATATTGTTAGAGGGGAAATAATGAGAAAAGAAACTGGAGAAATAAGAAGGGAAGTATGTATAATTTTTCCTAAAGTCAATAAAACAGTATTACAGGGAGGGTAAATTAAAGAAAAAAAATACATGAATGTAGTGTAGTCTATTAAAAGATTAGACTGGGCTAGACAATGATTTTGTTAAAAATAAAGGGATGTGGTACACATATTTTTATATTGAAATCAACAGGAAGGTAAATTAGTGACTGATTAAAATTGAAAAGGATTAAAGTTTGACTTTCCTCTTTCTGGGTTGAGTATTGGAAGAGGAGCAGAACTAATCATGGAGGTGTAGACACAAGATGGACGTTGAGCTCGGGTTGGAACATGCTGAGTGTGAGATAGACAAATTGAGAGATGTTAAATAAAATATGAGTTCAGAAGAATGATACCTAGATATAAAATTTTTAAACAGTGGTTATTTTATTAGAAAAATATGTAAAATTACAAGGATACAGGGCCTCAGACAAAACCCTGAAGTCCAAAATATTGCCATCCTTAAATATGCAGGCATAAGGAATAGATATCTCCAAAGATTCACTAGGAAAATAGAAATAATAGAAGATAATTTTTCTATTATCCTATCATGAGATTAAATCTTATTAAATCTCCTATATTTATTAATGAAATATAATCTATTAGTTCATATATATATTATATATACCCACACACAGATACATACACACAGAAAGAAAGAGACATAGACTTTAAGAAATTGGTTCAAGTGATTTTAGAGGCTGGGAAATTTGAAATCTGCAGTGCAGCCAGGATGCTGAAGATTCAGGTATGAGTGGATGTTGCAATCCTCAGTTCAAAGGCTAGAAACTCAGACAGAATTTCTATATTGCAGTCTGGAGAGAGAATTTCCTTTCCTTTGGGAAATATGACTCTCTGCTCTTAAGGCCTTGAATTAATTGGATGAGGCTCACACATATTACGGAGGATAATCTGCTTTACTTAAAGTCAACTAATTGTTAATGTCAACTGCACCTAAAAAAAAAATAGATATATATATTTACAGCAACATCTAGGCTGGTGTTTGATCAAACAACTGGGCACTAATCTACTGAAATTGATATATAAAATTTAACCCTCACAAGGGCAAACAATAATAGAAGAAGGAAACAAGATCCCTTAATCCATATAGACAAAGAATGAGCCCTTGAAGGAAAAAGTGTTCAATCTTGTGGAATATTTCTGAGAGGTCAAGTAGCTCAAGCATTAAAAAGCATCCTTTGAACTGACTTTTGCTACTGAACAATAGTAAGGGCTTAGAGAACTAGAATTAAAAGCCTGATATAAAAGATGAGCACATTTGAGAGAGCTTATTTGGTAGTGTGAATGGCACCTGAGCAAATGACTGAGGATTGTTACAAAGGAGAAAATGTCAAGGATAGTCCATGGGGTTAGCCTTGGTCATTGAAGTGAATGCCGTTAATTAAGCAACAAATACACAAGATAGGTAGATGTGGGGAGATGGAGGTTAAACATATTTGTTCTGTTAGAAATATATAAATTTTACCTACTTATGGGATATCTAGTAGGGATCAACCCATGTATTAGTCCATTCTCACACTGCTATAAAGACATACCTGAGACTGGGTGGTTCTGCAGGCTGTAGAGGCTTCTGTTTCTTGGAAGGCCTCAGGAAACTTACAGTCATGGTGGAAGGCAAAGGGTAAGCAAGTACATATTCACATGGCCGGTTGGAGAGGGCTGTGGAGAGGTGCTACACTTTTAAACAAGCAGATCTCACGAGAACTCTATCACAGGAAGAGCAAGGGGGAAGTCCATCCCCCTGACTCAGTCACCTCCCACTAGGCCCCTCCTCCAACACTGGGAATTACAATTTGCCATGAGATTTGGGTGGGGACACAGAGCCAAACAGTAGCAACCATCTTTTGGAATTTACGCATTTAGACAGAGATATTTGCTAGCATATAAAAGAGGAAAGAGAAGGCTATTTTCTAGAGACAACAAACATTAAGGAATCAATAAAGGAAAGGATGGAGGAAGATGATGAAAATCTTTCTTTTACTCTGTGTTGCCTTGCTAAGCTAGGAATTGACAAGTATTTAATATATTAAAACCCATATTATGGATGTTGTACACTACAAGAGCATATCTTGGCAATAGGATTAATGATCACGAAAAGGTGCACTCAGACATCTGGCAGGGTCTACGTCACGTGTCACTTAACAATATGATGTAACCTAGTCCAGGGATTACCAGGTCTCCATGACAACAGGATGTAAAAGCCCTGGTTGCCCTAGAGACAAGGCTGCGTCAGCACAGATGGAACTTTCATGAACCTTAAAATAAAGCTTCCCCTTGCAAGAATAACTTAAACTCCCTTTATTAAAGAAACACCTGGTGACTGACCCAGACTGAGTACAGAAATAAAAAAGGACAAGCTCTCAAGAATCTGAAAATAATCTCAAGACTGAGACTGTCTCCCTGAGATAGCTATTTGACCCCTGACTGCATTTGGCTAGTGTCACCGGCTTGTACCTGCTTATTGTTTTGTAAGGTCAAGCCAGAATAAACTACCTGAACATAAGCCAGTGTCTATGACTCATCTTTGAATCAAATTGGACCAAAGGAGAAAAATTGCTCTGGGAAAGCTGGTCTGCTAGGTCCACCAGATACGCCAAAAGCCTCAATGAGGTTGTGAACCCAAAAGTACCTGAGACCGGTCTCAATCAATTTAGAAAGTTTATTTTGCTAAGGTTAAGGACATGCCCATAACATAGCCTCAGGAGGTCCTGACAACATGCACCCAAGGTTGTCAGGGTACAGCTCGATTTTATACATTTTAGGGAGACATAGGACATCAATCAATACATGTAAGATTGACATTGGTTTGATCTGGAAGGGAGGGACAACTCAAAGCGGGGGCAGAGGGTTATAATAAGGGGTTGTGGAGACTGGGGTCTTGCCATACAGATGAAGCATCCAAGTAGCAGGCTTCAGAGATAATAGATGGTAAGTGTTTCTTATCCACAGCGAGATCTGTATTGATGTCCATGCTAGTTGGCTTTTCCTGAATTCCAAAAGGGAGGAAGGCCAAGTGTGGTCTGACCCTCCCTTTCCCATATTAGCCTGAACCACTTTTTCACTTTAACTTTGGAATACCAATGGCTGAGAGGAGGGGTCCATTCAGATGGTTAGGAGGGTGTTAGTATTTTATTTTTGGTTTACAGGGTAGAGAACAGAGGACATCAGCTTACAAATTGAGCCTCTGAGAAAGTAAACAACTCTCTCAAATTGTTTATTAAAAGACAACTTTTTTTTTCCTTCAATGACTAGATTCCAAAGAAGTCTTAACACTTTCAAGTAACTTGTGGTAGGTGGAGTAATGCCCCTTCCCCAGATGTACATATCCAAATCCGTGGAACCTGTCTTTAAATGACAAAATGAATTTTGTAGGTAAAATGAGGTTCCTTTGAGTTAGAAGATTACCCTGGATTGCTTGGGTGGGCCCAATGTTAATAATCTGATGGGACCCTAAAAGGAAAGCGGGAATGCAGAAGTTTTCATAAAAGAAATGGAAGTATGGAAAACGAGGCAGGAGAGATTGAAAGCATAAGCATTCAACTCACCATTGTCATGTTTGAAGATGAAAAAGAAGGGGGTGGGGCACAAGCCAAGGAATGGGAGTGGCCTCTGGAAGCTGGGAATAATGGTCACCTGGAACAGCCATCAGGGAAAGGAGAACTTCAGTCTACAACTTAGAGAAACTATATTCTACCAACAGTGTGAAGGAGCAAGTAAATAAGATTCTCCCCTTAGATACTTAAGAAAATAATGCAGCTCTGTCAGTACTCTACTTTTATGATACTATGACAGAACTAGGAGATAATGTATGTTTCATTTTAAGCTGCTAAATTAGAGATAATTTGTTATGGTAGCAATAGAAATAAATATACTTGCATTTAGCTTGTTTATGTGAACATATTATGATTATGATATACTAAATGGTATTCAGAAGAAAAATACTAATTAAAATATGAATGTCAACAGACACAAATTGGCAAACATCTTACTCCTGTTTTGCTTATATTATGTACAACAATACAAAATGCATGCAATGCAAAACTTTCTAACATTAATCAACATTTAATACTGATGTTGTAGCAGAAATGTTATTAAATTGAAGGAATGCATAATTCTGTTTGTTCAGTTTTAAACAATAAACAAAACTGCAGTCTTGATAACGAAGATAGCACAATTTTTTATGTTGTAGAGTTTATCATGTCTAGCAAACTCTCACTAAAATGAAATAGTGAAGCCAATTCTATTTTCTACCAATATTAAGTTTTTGTTTTACCTTCAGGGTTCTTAAGCCAATTCACCCAAGTGTAGATTGAAATGAACTTTAGCTCCTTAGATTCATAGACCTATGGTACCAAAGTCATTTGCCATATATAATATGTTGGCCTCTTTTCTTTTTTTTTATACTTTATATCATTTATATCATACTTGTTCAAAATAGAGAATACTGGTTGCTTTTTATTAGGGAAATAAATCATTGCAAAGAAGAAGATGATGTACAGAATATTTAGCTTATTTCAGTCCATTTGTCTGCAGTTATATTGTGAAACTGAAGTGTGAGAAGACAAATTAGTGAAAGTTAGTCTCATCATAACATTAATAGAACAAGAAATGGCACCAAATGTTAATATTTAAGTCTCAGTGTGTTTTCACTCCAGGCTATGAAGCCAACAAGATTTAGTTTTCACTTTATTTTTAAATCCACTATGAACTTTACAACAGTGCTATTCTCTAGTTTATGGAAACAATGTCCCTATTATTTCTACTATTTATAAATTCTATTTTTGAAACTTCTCCTTTTGATCTAATATATTCACTGACTCATTTCTTCTAGGCAGAAAAATATATATATATCAAAATAATCCCATCTTTTTTTTTAGTTTGTACAAATCAAGTCATGAGGAATAATTTCATTAAAATGATAAGTATTATCCAACATCACTAACAAAATATTGAATTAAATTCTGGCTTCCCAGAACAGGCATCAAAATTTCATTTTTATTTTTGCTCCTAGTTTTTCTAACACAACCAAACATAAGCTAATTACATCTTTTGTTCAGAGTGGTTTATATGTAGTTTAGTGAATTATAATTGATATTTTGATCTGTTATGTTTTCTAAGGTTACAATAAATATTTAGAGTGTGATTCCTCAAAGAATTTCCCATTAAGATGAAGTGAAAAGAGAAATAGATAAAAACACATTTGTATTCTCTGATAACAGATAGTCACAATTTTAAGTTCTATTTTATTAGAAAAATAGGCATTGTGTAGTTGAGAATTTATCAAGGTTTTAAATCCCAGGCAAAGGAAATTAAGTAAAGTAGATGAAAGAACCCATTGGATTTTTTTCAGCAAAGTTACTGACTGATCTAGTCCCTAAGTCAATACTCTGATAACACCTAAGGAAACCATTACCACAGGACTTATCACAGGACATTGAGATGTGATGCTAAAGGTCTGTCTGTCCCATGTGGCCTCTAGATCTCTAGTTTATGGTTGTATATTCTTTTAGTCTTTGGATTCTGATATTTAACATACATCTATTCTTATATTATGTTCTTAGTATATATTTGTATAAAACATAAGGCTTTACAAGAGAGGTTTAATTGCAATTAAACCTCTTTAAATGCAATAGCATAAGGCTATTCCAAACTAAGGGTTAGGGCAGAATTTGAACCGTAGGTTTAACAGTCTCCTGGAGATGCTTTGTGTCCCTGGAAATCATGAGCATGTTGTCACACAACCACACCTACAGATTATTGTCTGGGGTTCATGGATCTCTTTAGGTTGAGTGCTCTTTTTGTGGAATTCTGAGCACTCTACCAAGGATTTCTGGCCCAGTTTCTCATTCATGACAAAGAAAATAAAGAGCTGAACTCACTCTCTCTTTCCAAAAACCCAGATACTCAAAGAATATGGATAAACTCTTTGGTTTCACCTGCTCCTAGCAGCTGCTCTACCGAGACAGGTATTCAATAGTTGACTTAGAGATGGAAGTTAGGAAGATGGGCATGACAATGGGGCAGCCATCTTGCTGGAATCACCTCTCCCATTTCAATTTGTCAGCTCACTCTAATTATTTAAAAATGATATCCCACTCCTGCTTCAATGCATTTTTTTTACAGTTATAAAACCTCTCCAAACCTGTCTTAATTCAAAATGTGTGCTACTATTTGCCATGTATTTTACCAATCTTATACTTTTGAGCAATACATTTAGGAGTGATTTGACTACTTATAACTACAGAGTAAACTTCAAAACCCTGTAAGTATGCTCTATTTTATGACCACCACCTCTGCATTTCAGATTTTCAAAGGACGTTCAGAAGTTACAGAAGGAAAGGGGAAAGGGGCTGCAATCAACACTATACTCATGAATTAGATGACGAATCCTTCTGACATCCAGAAAGTCATGCTCTCCTGCAACAAATCTTGAGTTCATAAGATCCTGCACCCTGTTAGTAATTCTTTGCCTATCCCAAAGCAAGTTAGAAATTCTCCACTTTTGTCTGACTATCTGATATGATTTGGATATTTTTCCTGCTCAAATTTCATGTTGAAAATGTATTGACGTTTTTGCATTAAAAGTAATGACAAAAACCGCAATTATTTTTGCACCAACCTAATAGTACCCCATGTTGGAGGTAGGGACTGGTGGGAAAGTGTTTTGGGTGATGGGGTGGATCGCTCATGGCTTGGTGCTGTCCTCAAGATAGTGAGTACTTCTCATGATACCTGGTTGTTTAAAAGTATGTGGTCTATACCCAACCCTTACTCCCACTTCACCTTCTGCCATGAGTAAAAGCTCCCTGAGGCCTCTCCAGAAGCCAAGCAGATGCCAGCATCATGCTTGCTGTACAGCCTACAGAAATGTGAGCCAATTAAACCTCTTTTCTTTATAAATTACCCAGTCTCAGGTATTCCTTTATGGCAAGGCCAGCAGCCTAACACACTATTTAGCTCATCAACAGAAGCTGCCTGCAACATTCTCCTATGCTTGAAAGTTCTTTGCTAGTTTAGTTACCTGACCAGCTTACCTAGAGCCTCAGGGTTGATGAGGATCAAGGGTAGGCAAAGGAAAAAATAAGACATATAGGAGGGCTAGTGGTATTGTGTCCCAACCCAAATCTCATGTTGAATTGTAATCTCCAGTGTCGAAAGTGGATCCTGGTGGGAGATGATTACATCATGGGGCAGTGCTCGTTTCAACATCACCCCCCTTGGTGTTGTTATGGCAAGAGTGAGTTATCACAACATCTGGTTGTTTAAAAGTGTGTAGCACCATCCTGCTCTCTCTCTACCCCCTACTCCATATATGTAATATATGCCTGTATCCCTTTGAACTGCTCCAGTGATTGTAAGTTTCCTGAGGCCTCCCAGGCTATGCTTCCTGTACAGCCTGCAGAAGCATGAGCCAATTAAACCTCTTTTCTACACAAATGACTCAGTCTCAGTTATTTCTCTCTAGCAGTGTGAGAACAGATTAATATAGCAAATTGATACTGAGAGTGGGGCATTGCTATAAAGATACCTGAAAATGTGAAAGCGCCTTTGGAACTCATTAATGGGCACAGGTTGAAACAGTTTGGAGGGCTCGGAAGAAGACAGAAAGGTGTGGGAAATTTGGAACTTCCTAAAGACTTGTTGAATGGTTGTGACCAAAATACTGAGAGTGAAACAGACAGTGAATCCAGGTTGAAAAGGTCACAGATAGAAATGAAGAACTTATTAAAACTTGGAGTAGAAGTCACTCTTGTTATGCTTTAGCAAAAATAAAAAACTGGTGGCATTGTCACCCTGCTATAGGCAATCTGTGGAACTTTGAACTTGAAAGATATGATTTAGCGTATTTGGCAGCAGAAATCTCTAAGCAGCAAAGGAATCAAGATGTGGCCTGGCTGCTTGTAAAAGTCTATCTCATGGTCATGAGAAAAGAAATTACCTGAAACTGGAACTCATATTTACAAGGAAACCAGAATTTAAAAGTTTGAAAATTTGCCTGGCCATGTGATAGAAAAGAAAAACTAATTTTCAGGGGAGTAAATCAAGCAGGCTGTAGAAATTTGCTTAAGTAAAGAGAGGCCAGTTGGCTGGGTGCAGTGGCTCATGCCTGTAATCCCAGAACTTTGGGAGGCCAAGGCAGGTGGATTACAAGGTCAGGAGATCGAGACCATCCTAGCTAACATGGTGAAAACCCGTCTCTACTAAAAATACAAGAAATTAGCTGGGCATGGTGGTGGGCACCTATAGTCCCAGCTACTCAGGAGGCTGAGGCAGGAGAATGGCATGAACCTGGGAGGCGGAGCTTGCAATAAACCGAGATCACGCCACTGCACTCCAGCCTGGGTGACAAAGTGAGATTCTGTCTCAAAAAAAAAAAAAAAAATAGGGGCCAGTTGCTAACAGACAAGAAAATGTGAAAAAGACCTGGGAGGCATTTCAAGACCTCTGCAGCAGTTCCTCCCATCACAGGCCTGGAGGCCTAGGAGGAAAGAATTGTGACTTGGCCCAGGTTCAGGGACCCACTACTCTGTGCAGCCTCAAGACATGGCACTCTGCATTCTGGTTGCTTTATCTCCAGCCATGGCTAAAAGGGGACCAAGTACAGCTCAGAATGTGGCTTCAGAGGGTGCAAACAGTAAGCATTGGTGGCTTTCATTGGTGTTAAGCCTGCAGGTGCACATAGTACAAGAGTTGAATTTGGGAGACTTCACCTAGATTTCAGAGAATGTATAGAAAAGTCTGGATGTGTAGACTTTATTTCTTTCTTGGAGATCCACTTATAGCTTATCTCTTAGCAGGCTAGCTATATTAGTTAATTCTCACACTGCTGTAAATAAATACTGAGAAGTCTGCTGCAGGGATGGAGCCATCATGGAAAACCTCTACTAGGGCAGTGCAGAGGGGGAAATGTGGGTTGGAGACCCCATACAAAGTCTCCACAGGGACACTGCCTATTGGAGCTATGAGTAGAGGGCCACTGTCCTCCAAACCCCAGAATAGTAGATCCACTGGCAGCTTGCATCCTGCACCTGGAAAAGTCACAGGAACCTAAAAGCAGCCCTTGAGAGCAGCTGAAGGGGCTGAATCCTGCAAAACCACAGAGGCGGAGCTGCCCAAGCCCTTAGGAGCCTACCCATTGCATCAGTGTTCCCTGGATGTGAGACATGGAGTCAATGGAGATTATTTTTAAGCTTTAAGGTTTAGTGACTTCGCTGCTGGGTTTTGGACTTGCATGGGGCCTATAGCCCCTTCCTTTTGGCCAATTTCTTGCACTTGGAAAGGGAATGTTTACCCAATGCCTATAGCCCCATTGTATCTTGGAAGTAACTAACTTGTTTTTTTAATTTTATTTTATAGGCTCATAGGTGGAAGAGACTAACTTTGTCTCAGTTGAGATTTTGGACTTTGGACTTTTGGATTAATAACAGAATGAGTTAAAACCTTGGAGGACTGTTGGGAAGGCATGATTGGATTTTGCAATGTGAGAAGCACATGAGATTTGGTAGGGGCCAGGGGCAGAATGATATGGTTTTTAGGTGTGTCTCCTCCCAAATCTTATGTTGGATTATAATCTCCAGTGTTGGAGGTAGAGTCTGGTGGGAAGTGATTGGATCATTGGTGTTGTTTCTCATGATTTTACACCATCTCCTTGGTGTTGTGGCAACAGTGAGTTTTTATGAAATATAATTGTTTAAAAGTATGTAGTACCTCCTTTCTCTCTCTCTCTCTCCTGCTTCAGTCATCTTAGATGTGGATGCTTACCCTTTACCTTCTGCCATGATTGTAAGTTTCCTGAGGTTTCCCAAGCTATGCTTCCAGTACAGCCTGCAGAACTGCGAGCCAACTAAACCTCTTTTTTGTTTTATAAATTACCTAGTCTCAGTTATTTTTTATAGCAGTGCAAGAACAAACTAATACAGCTAGCCTATTGAGAGAGAAACTATAAATGGGTCTCCCAGAAAGAAATACTTGCTTCTGATGAAACAAAACTAGATTAAAAAAATAGCAACAACATTAAATTAAAACCATAAGTATCTTCAAGGCAATTAGAAATCTATTTTCTAAGAATTATTATTTATAATGACGAGGAAGAGGGGTACAACATTTAATTAGTGATTTAGATCAGTGATCAGCAAGACTTTTTTCTGTAAAGAGCCAGATCGCAAATACTTTAGTCTTTGCTGCCCATATGGTTTCTGTTGTGACCATTTACCTCTTAGGTAAATAATCACAGAAATACAGAAGTAAATAGGCATGGCTGCATTCCAATGAAATTATATTTACCTAAATAAATAGGTGGCCATATTTAACCTCTGACCTGTAGATTATCAACCCTGATCTAGATTAAAGAGGAATGTACATATCAAAGCTATAAAAATCCTGCAGGAAAGCAAAACACAAGCATTTTGAAGAGCTGAACCAGAAAAATTTACACGCTAATAAAAAGTATTTCAGAAATTAGGGTAAAGGCAAGCTCTAATATCAGAGGAAAATGTTGCCTTAAAGGCAGTTCTGTGTATGCAGATTGACTTTATTAGTAACAATGGTGTATTAGTCAGGCTTCTCCAGAGAAACAGAACCAAAGGTGTATGCATATGTGTGTGTGTGTGTGTGTGTGTGTGTGTGTGTGTGTGTGTGTGTATGGAGATTATATATAGTATATGTGAAGAGGAGATATAAGGAGGTTTATTATGGGAGTTGGCATATGTGATCATGGAGGCCAGGAAGTCCTATAATCTGCCATCTGGAATCTGGAGAACCAGGAAAACTGGTGGTGTAATTCAGCTTTAATTTGCAGTCTTGAGAACCAGGGGAGCCAGTCCAAGGCTGAAGAGCTGAGAATCAAAGAACCAGGAGAGTAGGGGGAGGCACTTGAAAGAGTGAAGATGTGGCCAGCCCAAATTATGTCAGATTAGTGTATTATTTCAAGCTGAAAACATTGGAGAAATTTTAGTTTCAGAAAGGTAAGTTGAATTGTCTCTTCCTGCATGCAGCAAGTAATAAAGATTTCTCTGGTAAGAGTACCTTTCCCGTACTGCAGTAAGAAAATAGCCCTTATCACCAGAGACTTGGAATCGAAGGCTGCGATGTACTGGAATAAGCATAGTTAATGAAGTAACCTTTATCTTCCACCTACTTAACCTCTGCCCACCCAAATATGTCTCCTACTGGCTCCCCTAGAAAATTTTACCACCCTAAACATATTTTCTTTGTTACATCATTTCTTATCAAATGTATTGCTCTTTGTCTATAATGTTATAAAAGCATCTTGCTATGGCAACTTATTTGGATTTTACTCTCTTGTGAAGATCCACATGTACATGTAAAACCAATAACATTTGTGTAATTTTCTCTTATTTATCTGCTTGGTGTCAATTTGGTCTCTAGATCCAGCTGAAGAGCCCACTAAAAATTGGGTCTTGAAGTAATGTCTGGCTCCCCTACATACACTGCTGTAAGTCGTGGAGTTGGGACTTTCAAATGTAGTAGAAAATAGGTGTCTCAGCTCAACAAGAGAGAGAGAATGTCACCCTTCTATCCATCTGCTCAACCGATTGAATGTTGCCTCCCTCTGACTCACATTGGTGAGAGCAGCTTTTCTTTATTGTTCACTGATTTAAACGCTAATTTCTTCCACAAAGACCCTCATGGACTCACTCAGAAATAATGTTTTACCAGGTATCTGGGCTACCTTAACCAAGTGACATATAAAATTAGCCATCACAGATGGAAATTGGAAAAGAATTGAACACCTTAAATTAAGAGATAAGAGAAATACAAGATAGAACGCCAATAATTCTGTGCCTAGCTAGTAATTCTTTGTTAGATAAAACACTATATAGTAATGCAATGCAAAGTTTAAAGTATTAATTTACCAGTATATGATTTGGGGAAATATGTTTATTAAAACTATACAGGAAAAAATTCTATATCTCTTTCCTTTGAGTTCTGTCTTGATAGTCTCCATACAACAATTAGAGATCTTAGAAATTAGAAATGAAACAATGTCAATGCTCCACTCAAAACCATCCATTTTCTTACCATTTCATTCAGAATAAAGTACAAATTTTAAGGTCTTCAAATTGGTTCCTTGCTCTGGTCCTGAACCATCTCTCTGATCTCAACCTACCACCATCTTCACCTACCCTTTTCTGCTGGTGTCCAGCCTAGGCCAATGTTTCTCCTGTCTCACAGTCTTTGCACTTGTTCTCTCTCCCCGGATCACTATCTATCCAGGAAATGCATAGCTGATCTCTCCACTTTCCTTTGTTGTTGTTGTTGTTGTTTGTTGTTGTTGTTTGTTTGTTTGTTTTTTGAGACGAAGTCTCTGTCACCCTGGCTGGAGAGCAGTGGCACAATCTCAACTCACTGCAGCTTCTGCCTCCTGGGTTCTAGCAATTCTCCTGCCTCAGCCTCCCAAGTAGCTGGGACAACAGGTGTGCACCACCACTACAGGCTAATTTTTTATGTTTTTAATAGAGATGGGGTTTCACCATCTTGACCAGGCTGGTCTCAAACTCCTGACCTCAGGTGATCTGCCTGCCTCGGCCTCCCAAAGTTCTGGGATTGCAGGTGTGAGCCACCACACACGGTGATCTCTCTACTTTCCTAAGATCTCTTCAAATATCACTCTACCAGGAGGAGTTAGTCAAGCATCTGCAAAAAGGAATAAACCTCACCTTTTTATCAGCACTTACATTGTGACACTGAACATCACTCCATGAGAGCAGAGATTTTTTCCTTCTGTTTTTTGGTTTTTGTTTTTGTAACAGAACTAGGAACATTAGATGTGTTATTTTCCTTGGGCTATCATAACAAAATACCATAAACTGGGTGGCTTAAATAAGATCAATTTGTTTTCTCAAAATTCTAGAGGCCAGAAGTTCCAAATCAAGATATGAGAGGGCCAGTTTCTGGTAAGAGCTCTCTCTCTCTCTCTGGCTTGCAGATGTGAGCCTTCTATCTGTGTCATGTGTCAGGGAGAGAGAAGTCAGGGAGACAGTTCTGATGTCTCTTACTATAAGGACACTAATCTATGAAATCAGAGCCCCATTTTTATGACCTCACTTAACCTTAACTAGTTTCCTAGAGGCTCCATCTCCAAATATGACCACACTAGGGGGTAGGGCTTCAAGTTATGAATTTGGGTGAAGGTCACAAACATTCAATTCAAAACAATAGAGATACTTTAAATGCACAGGGCTAGAAAAAAACTGAATTAAGTAATTATTGCTAATAAAACCATTAGGAAAAGAAGACACATATCTTAATGTGAACGCTAATTAAGACTTAGAGCTAAATGTTGCATATATTAGTTAGTAAAACCTTAGAGTTTTGAAATATGGAAGTAGAAGAAAGAGAAAGAACAGTTAAAATTTTCTTTGGAAAGTGAATGTTGAAAAAAGCATTTTAAATAGCTCATTTAATATAGTGACTTTGAATATGATAGGAAGAGAAAAGATAGAGGAGGACATAATATATCTTTATACATATACAATAACATATAAACACATATTTCATTATGATCATAGGGAAGAAAATTATATAATATTCAAAAAAAGGTACAAGAGAAATTACCAGTAAATATAAAGATCAAATAAGAAGAATAGTATGTTGATCAAATTGGCAATAATTGGAAACAATAACAGGAGAAAACAATAGCATAAAGTAAATACATCTAAACTAGAATAAAGACAAAACAATGTTACATATGGTTTAATTCAGTGCTCATTAATAAATACCCTTAAAAATTAAAAATTATGCCAAATTAATTTCAAAAACACCCAGTTACACATTGTTTACAAGAAATCCAATAAAACGAAATGCTAAAGAAAGAACACAAATAAAGAATATTGCCAAGACAGCTATTATAAGAAGATAAAAGGTACAATAATTCACAAAGAAGGTACACATCTCATCATGTATGCACAAAACCATGAAGAAGCTGAATGCATGAACAGAAATATTAAAGATGTAAAATGTTAATCAATTATAATTACAGTTAGATATTTTAATAAATTTCTTCAGGATTTATTAATAATAGTAATTTCTAAAGAAAATAATTCAGAAACAAACTGGATAATTAATCAGCTATAGTGAAACTGAACATGCAACTATGTATAAAATTAATTCCAAAGCTAAATGTGCTTGTCCATGATCAAATAATCAGCATCTTTCAATTAAATTCACCATATAATTTTTCCAAAACAAATAATTTCCTAAATATTTACACTCATTCTTAAATATCAAACACGTACTTAATTAAAAGGCATGCAAAATAAAAAAATTAAAAATTAAGATGTGTGTATTTTGTCAAGCTTCTCCGGAGAAAAAGCATCAATAGGAGACACACACACACACACACACACACACACACGTGCACACACACACACACATGCACACACACACACACACATACATAAAAATGTTTATTATGAGAAAGATTATGAAGGCTGAGAAGTCACCCATCTACCCCTCTGCAATCTAGAGGCCTAGGAATGCCAATTATGTAGTTCTAGTCCAAGACAACAGGTCTGAGAACCCAAAAAGTCAATGGTATAAATCTTAATTCAAAGGCAGAAGACTGATGTCACAGTTCACCAGTCAGTCAGGAAGCAAAAGGGGATGAATTTCTCCTTTCTATACCTTTTCCTCTATTCAGGCCCTCAGCAGTTTGGATTATGTTAAGCCACATTGGGGAAGACATTCTTCTACACCAAATCCACTCATTTAAATGCTAATATTGCCTGGAAATACCCTCGCACAAATACCCAGAAATAATGTTTAACCTGGACGTCTGTATTAGTCTGTTCTCACACTGCTGTAAAGAAATACTTGAGACTGAGTAATTTATGAAGAAAAGAGGTTTAACTGGCTCATGGTTCTGCAGGCTGTACAGGGAGTATAGTGACTTCTGCTTCTGGGGAGGCCTCAGGAAGCTTTCAAACATGTCAGAAGGCAAAGAGGGAATGAGGCACTTCATATGGCTGAAATAGGAGAAAGAGCGAGAGAGGAGGTGCTACACACTTTTAAACAACCAGATCTCATGAGGACTCCCTCACTCACTATCATGCAAACAGCACCAAGGAGATGTTGCTAGGCCATTCATGAAAACTCTGCCCTCATGACTGAACCACCTCCCACCAGGTCCCACCTTCCATATTGGGGATTACAATTGAACATGAGATATGAGTGGGGGCACAGATCCAAAGCATATCATTCTGCCTCTGGCCCCTCCCAAGTCTCATGTTCTTCTCACATTGCAAAATCCAATCATACCTTCCCAATAATCCCTCAAAGCCTTAACTTATTTCTAACATTAACTCAAAAGTCCAAAGTCCAAAGTCTCATCTGAGACAAGTTTAGTCCCTTCTGCCTATGAGCCTGTAAAATCAAAAATAAGTTAGTTTCCTCCAAAATATAAAGGGGTTATAGGCATTGGGTAAATGTTTCCATTCCAAAAGGAAGAAATCTGTCAAAAGAAAAGGGCTACAGGCTCCAAGCAAGTCTGAAACCCAGCAAGAAAGTCATTAAACCTTAAAGCTCCAAATTAATCTCCTTTGACTTCATGTCTCACATCCGGGGAACATTGAGGCAAGGGGTGGGCTCCCAAGGGCTTGGGCAGCTCTGCCTCTGTGGTTCTGCAGGGTTCAGGCTCTATAGCTGCTCTGGAGGGCTGCTGTTGAGCTCCTGTGACTTTTCCAGGTACAGGATGCAAGCTGCCAGTGGATCTACCATTCTTTGGGGTTTGGAGAACAGTGGCCCTCTTCTCACAGCTTCACTAGGCAGTGCCCCCATGGGGACTCTGCATGGGGTCTGCAACCCCACATTTCCCCCTCTGCACTGCCCTAGTAGAGGTTCTCCATGAGGGTTCCACCTCTGCAGCAGGCTGCTGCCTGGACATCAGGGCTTTTTGATAAATCCTCTGAAATATAGGTGGAGGCTCCCAATCCTCAACTTTTGCATTCTGTGCACCCAGATGCTTAACACCATGTGGAAACCAACAAGGCTCACAAGCTGGCATCCTCTGAAGCAGTGGCCCAAGCTGTCCCTGGGCTCATTTGAGTCATGGATGGAGCTGGAATGACTGGGATGTGGGGAGCATTGTCTTGAAGCTGCTCAGGACAGCACATCCTCAGCCTGGCCCATGGAACTATTCTTACCTCCCAAACCTCTGGGTCTGTGATGGGAGGGGTTATCATGAAGGTCTCTGAAATGCTTTCAAGGCCTATTTCCCAGTGTCTTTTGTATCAGCATTTGCCTTTCTTTTAATTATGCAAATTAATGCAGCCTGCTTCAAACCCTCCACCTGAAAATGGGCTTTTCTTTTCTACCACATGGCCAGGTTGCAAATTTTTCAAACTTTTACATTCTGCTTCCCTTTTAAACATAAGTTTCTGTTTCAGGTCATTTTTTTGCTCATCTGTATGAGCTATGTTTTTAGAAGCAGCCAGGCTGCTTCAAGAATGCTTTGCTGCTTAGAAATACCTTCCACCCCCTAAATCATCAATCTCAAGTTCAAAGTTTCACAGATCCCTAGAGCAGGGACACAATGCAACTAAGTTCTTTGCTAATGCATAACAAAAGTGACCTTTGCTCCAATTCCCAGTAAGTTCTTCATCTCCATCTGAGACTTCATCAGCCTAGTCTTTATTGTCCATATCACTATCAGTATTTGGGTCACAACAATTTAACCAGTCTCTAGGGTGTTTCAAATTTTCTCTCATCTCCCTGTCTTCTTCTGAGCCCTTCACACTCTTCTAACCTCTGCTGATTACCTAGTTCCAAAGCTGCTTCCACAATTCAAGTAGTGTTATATGAATGCACTGCTCTTTTGTACCAGTTTTCTGTGTTAGTCCATTCTCACTGATATTAAAAAAAATAGCTGAAACTGGGCAATTTATAAAGAAACAAATTTAAAGTGGTATGATTTGAATAAGATTCTTCATCTATTACTGATTTGTGACAGTTATACAGATGATTTCAATATAAATAAATGAGATAGGCCAGGCACTGTGCCTCATGCCTATAATCCCAGCACACTGGGAGGCCTAGGAGGGTGGATCACTTGAGGTCCGGAGTTCAAGACCAGCCTGGTCAACATGATGAAACCCCATCTCTACTAAAAATACAAAAAATAGCCAGGTGTGGTAGCACATGCTTGTAATCCCAGCTACTTGGGAGGCTGAGGCAAGAGGATAGTTTGAAACCAGGAGGCAGAGGTTGCAGTGAGCTGAGATCAGGCCACTGCACTCCAGCCTGGATAACAGAGTTGGACTTTGTCTCAAAAAGTAAATAAATAAATAAATAAATAAATAAATAAATAAATAAAATAGAAAATATGCCAAACGTGAACTTAATGGATCTGCAATACCCATCAGGTACAGAGCCCACAAACTCCTTCCATTCCAAAAAAAGAAAAGAAACTAAAATTCTCCCACATTTAGAATTTTCTCATTTAAACAAGAGACAGTTATATGGCCTTGCTCGTAAACTGAGTAGCCGTAATGGAGAGAATTTAGGGTCTATTTTTTCAGACTCTAAATTTATAAAATATAGAAGATATTCTTGCAAATTGCCATTTTATAATCCTCCTCATATTCTTGTCTTGAGCATTGATTCAAACCATGAAGTATGATCAAAATGCATAACTGTAAAATTGGAAACAAATAGCACTTTCCCTTTTGTGAAATTAAGTTCCATTTTTAAAGTGTTATTTACTATTTTCTCAAATTTTGGCTTTTCGACATTAGCCGATTTTCTTGGGGGTAAGTGCTATGAATGGAAAGAAACTGTATAATTTCCAGATCAGGAGAGACATACTCTATCTTTTTTGGCAATAAAATTTGTAATTTTACTGTATTTAGAGAGTTTCAATAAAAGGGAAGCAATAAGAGAAGATAATTTAAGGGGATTAATAATTTTTCAAATGCCAGAGGCCAAATTATAATCAAGTTTTTATACATTTAGTTAATTAATACTTGGAAACAGGCTTAATTTATGTGGAATTTAGAGCACTTTTAATAGGTTAGACACATGTAATTTCCTCTAGTACCTATAATCATCTTGATGCATAATTTGCATGGATTAGGATGAAGATAAATGATCTGGAAAAGCATTACATTTCCAAAATTCTTGCTAAATGTTTCTGCCAATGTTCAAGTTTCTTGAAGAGCACTCGAGTTCTCTTACTTCATTTTTAAGAGCCTTATATAATGATTTATCAATAAGACTAAGTATAATGTTAATATATTAAATAGAAATAATCTATTTGTTATTTAGAGAAGGCATTATAGACATAAAAATAAATTTCTTCGCAGAAAACCAGGTCCTATTGTATTCAACCATGGAAGAAAATAAAGCTCAGTTGCTGTGTTTAGAAAATGTGCATGCGGTTGGTAGCATAAGATTTGTTCAACAGCAATTAAAATGTGTGTTAAGCCAATATGATCTCACTCATCATGAATGGCACTAAGCAATTCATGAGAGATTTACCTTGATGTTCCAATCACCTCCTACCAGGTCCCACCTCCAATGCTGGCAATCACATTTCAACATGAGATTTGGAGGGGACAAACATCCTAACCATATCAAGTATAAAGTATCATTAGTTTTAGAATGACTTGGGAGAGTTATGCACTTGTAATATTTGGACTGGTCTCCAGTTTTGGGGTCAGAAATGTTAGCTAATGTGCTGTCTAATTCAGAGACTACCTAGAGGAGTTATTCTTAGTGGGTTGAGTTCTGGAACGTTCCATCTGAGGAATAAACTACTCTCTATTATATTCACCATAGTATTATATTCCTCACTATAGGGAGTGAAATTCTCATCATATTCTGTGATGTTTTTAATTCCTCTTTCTCTTTGGCATTTCAATAAAAACTAAGAAAGCCTTTAAGAAATATCTAGCCTATTATTATGTTTCTATCTTAACCATAAAAATTTTGTTGGTTTAAAACACTATTAAAATAATAGCTTTGATCCATTTTATACTTCTACACATTCCATTCCTTGCCCCAAATTTAACCATGGGCCCAATTTTTTGCTTCTTCTCAAAAGTTGGCCATTTATTTCTTCATCTAACAACTGGCATAGAATTAAACTGCTCTTCATTTGAACTCACAATTCTTCCTTTCTCAAAATATTCAACCGTACTACTCACTGTCCCTCTTACTTGCCAGGATTAAACTCTGATGCCACATTATGTTATGGCAATAAAAGCTTCAAACTAAAATTTAACCTGTTTTTCTGTTAGCTACTTCCTTTCAGTCAGCAGAAATGAGAGAGAAAAATGACAAACAAACAGTGCTCAGACAGAAATCTCCACATTCTCATCTTCTTTCTGCATGCCAAATTATGGAAAAGATTCAGTTTACCTTTGCTGTTGGTGAGAGGTGACAGCGTGCTGGCAGTCCTCACAGCCCTCGCTCGCTCTCCGCGCCTCCTCTGCCTGGGCTCCCACTTTGGTGGCACTTGAGGAGGCCTTCAGCGCACCGCTGCACTGCGAGAGCCCCTTTCTGGGCTGGCCAAGGCCGGAGCCAGCTCCCTCAGCTTCTAGGGAGGTGTGGAGGGAGAGGCGCGAGCGGGAACCCGGCCTGCGCGCGGCGCTTGCGGGCCAGCTGGAGTTCCGGGTGGGCGTGGGCTTGGCGGGCCCGGCACTTGGAGCAGCCGGCCGGCCCTGCCGGCCCCGGGCAATGAGGGGCTTAGCACCCAGGCCAGCGGCTGCGGAGGGTGTACTGGATCCCCCAGCAGTGCCAGCCCACCAGCGCTGCGCTCGATTTCTCACCGGGCCTTGGCTGCCTTCCCGCAGGGCAGGGCTTGGGACCTGCAGCCCGCCATGCCTGAGCCTCCCACGCCCTCCACGGGCTCCCGTGCCCTCCGAGCCTCCCCGATGAGCGCCGCCCTCTGCTCCACGGCGCCCAGTCCCGTCGACCACCCAAGGGCTGAGGAGTGCGGGCGCAGGGCGCCGGACTGGCAGGCAGCTCTATCTGCAGCCCTGGTGCGCGATCCACTGGGTGAAGCCACCTGGGCTCCTGAGTCTGGTGGGGACGTGGAGAACATTTATGTCTAGCTCAGGGATTGTAAACGCACCAATCGGCACTCTGTATCTAGCTCAAGGTTTGTAAACACACCAATCAGCACCCTGTGTCTAGCTCAGAGTTTGTGAATGCACCAATCCACACTCTGTATCTAGCTACTCTGGTGGGGCCTTGGAGAACCTTTGTGTCCATACTCTATCTAGCTAATCTGGTGGTGAGGTGGAGAACCTTTGTGTCTAGCTAAGGGATCATAAACGCACCAATGGGCGCCCTGTCAATGAGACCACTCGGCTCTACCAGTCAGCAGGACGTGGGTGGGGCCAGATAAGAATAAAAGCAGGCTGCCAGAGCCGGCAGTGGCAACCAGCCCGGGTCCCTTTCCACACTGTGGAATCTTTGTTCTTTCACTCTTTGCAGTATATCTTGCTACTGCTCACTCTTTGGGTCCACACTGCTTTTATGAGCTGTAACACTCACCGCGAAGGTCTGCAGCTTCACTCCTGAGCTAGCGAGACCACGAACCCACCGGGAGGAACGAACAACTCCAGACGCGCTGCGTTAAGAGCTGTAACACTCACCGCGAAGGTCTGCAGCTTCACTCCTGAGCCAGCGAGACCACGAACCCACCAGAAGGAAGAAACTCGTAAACCCATCCGAACATCAGAAGGAACAAACTCCAGATGCGCTACCTTGAGAGCTGTAACACTTACCGCCAGGGTCCGCGGCTTCATTCTTGAAGTCAGTGAGACCAAGAACCCACCAATTCCGGACACACTGGGAGTGTAGTCTCTATGTCTCAAGAATTTAGCAAGATATTGATAAAATTTGGAGGAGGAAGACATCACAGGGATAGCGGAAAGGTTTTCAGGATAAGACCACGGTGTGGAGCGTCAAGGTGTTTTGCCTGGCGCTCTGTAACTGCATGCTACTTCTCTTTTGTGTGGAGCCACCATTGCTTCCCTCTGACGTGATCTGTGTTCAATCCAGAAAACTACTGTCTTCTGTCAAGATCATAAACTGGCCGGGCGCGGTGGCTCACGCCTGTAATCCCAGCACTTTCGGAGGCCGAGGCGGGCGGATCACAAGGTCAGGAGATTGAGACCATCTTGGCTAAAACGGTGAAACCCAGTCTCTACTAAAAATACAAAAAATTAGCCGGGCACGGTGGCAGGAGCCTGCAGTTCCAACTACTCAGGAGGCTGAGGCAGGAGAATGGCGTGAACCCGGGAGGCGGAGCTTGCAGTGAGCCGAGATAGCGCCACTGCAGTCCGCCTGGGAGAAAGAGCGAGACTCCGTCTCAAAAAAAAAAAAAAAAAAAAAAGATCATAAACTCAGCTGATCTGTTTGTCTAGCTCCTCTGTTACCTCTCTTTTGCCATGAATATTTTATTTACAAGATTCCATCAGCAGAATGGATGCTTTGTTTTCTTTTATAGGCTAGATCAAGCTCACATAGATATCTTACATTCTGGGAGGTGAGTTTCAATGCTGCTCAATTTGCATTATATTATTACGGTTCTAATCCATAAAAATAGGTTTAAAAAAAGGAAATTGTATACAAAGGATGTTTGAAATTGTATGTGTTCTCAAACACATGTATTCATCTCCATTCAAAACAACTAGTTAGGAACTAAAGGCAGGTAAGTGAGATATGCCTTACTCTTTTGTCCCTGTCGTCACACAAAGCCATCCTGTCCCCAATAGCCTCTCTGAGTGAGAATTACTTCTCTCACATTGATTAAGTAAGGTTTAGACCCATGAGGCTTTCCCGGTAAAGACCCAGAATAATGAAGGCAGAATATACAGAATTGTATTTAATGCTCTATCACATATGAGACATTTGAGTATTTGGAAATATTAGCTGGACCTTATGAAACTGCTGCTTTTGTAGGTCAAAATTGCCCAAATACCAGTAATTTCATGCAGTTTAAATTAATAAATCAAAAATGAAATCACTCTTTAGAGTAGGTCTACATGGAAAAACTTGAGGGTTGACGAATTGTTTTTATTTAGAATCCTAATACAGCAAGAAACTTTAAACTTACACACACACGTATACACACAAATACATACATGTATATATAATTTTTGCTTTAATATACGTTCAATTCTACTTTTACTTTTGAAGACACCTTTAATTTATAGATGTTTCTTTCATATAAAAAAGTTTAGAGTGCTATGATTTTACCAAATCAAAGATTCTATTGCTTGTAAAAAGGTACTTTAATTTCTGCATTAAAAATAAAAAGAAAAATCATTATTTTTTGTACTACAGAATGAGAGCATTGATAATGCAGTATTTCTTGGAATATGGCTCCTGCATTTTCCCTGGACTTTGTTTCAAGACACTTACTCACATATTCACATTTTTAAAATTTGGTTTACTTCCTTATCTTTTCAGAAGGGAAACTTACGTGTATTTATGTAGTTAAAATATAGACAAATTAATTTAAAAACCAGTAAATATGTATTTTTAAAAAGCACAGATAGGTACCCTTGTTTATTCTACTGGGCTCCTATAACAAAATCCCATGGACTGGGTGGCTTATAACAACAGAAATTTATTTCTTACAGTTTTAGAGCCTGGGAAGTTCAATATCTAGGCACCAGCAGATTTGGTGTCTGGTGTGGGCCTGCTTTCTGGTTCAGGGATGACTATCTTCTCCCTGCATCTTCACATGACAGAAAGGACAAGGGAGCTCTCTCAGTTCCATTTATAAAAGCAGTCCTGTTCTTGAGGGCTTGATGAGTCCTGCTACAAGAAGGACGCCAAAGAACACAGCAGTTCTATGTTGTTAATCCACTGCATAATTTGTAGGTGTCAAGATTACCAAGACACTTAAACACAGGCATTGAATGGAACAACACTCAACTTACACGGAGAAGAGGAGACAGCAAAATCAGCTTCAATAGTAAGTACAAGTCCGCCATGGCTAGCCAGTCTGGTACTGCAACCAATGTAGAGAGATAGTCTGAACTACCCGTCTTGTGCTGTCTCGATATATTGGAAAAAAAACTCTGACCCCTTTTCCTCTCCATTAGGAACATAGTGGTGGAGTTCACTAGGTGTCCTATGATGCACACAGAAGTGGAACAAAGAAATACACATCAAACCCAATATAGGAAGAAATATTTCCAAATAAGGAGATATGCTCAGCAAAGACTCTGAGGGCTCATATCTCCATGCTAAAAATGTTTCAGGCTCACGTCACATCCTTAAGCAACCATACAAGGATTGACAGGCTGTGAATGAATGCCCTTTCCAACAACTATGGGTTAGAACTTTGGTGGGGACACAATTCAGCCCACAACAGGTGGTGAGAAATATTACATATATAATAATTCACAATTATTGCTTGTCTCCACAGTATGACATGCTTCTCTTTATGTTGAGTATACTGCTAGTGAACTTTCACCTTGGCCATGAGATTTTGTTGTGCAGTGGAGTGTGCATAGATGAAATATGCTACGTGACAAATCATAATCTTTTAATGCACTCACGTGTTCTGCCTCTGTCTCTTGAAATTCTGCCCTCTGCCATGCATACCACATATCGTCTATCAGGGTTGCTCCTTCAGCATGCATTCTGGAAAGAAACGGCTTGTGAAGAATAGCAGTGCTGGCAGAACTCAGCAAAACAACATCTAATCTGCAACCATCGTTTAATGCGATTGATAAATACATACTTGTTTCTGTCAGTCTTAAAGTATTGGTGTTGTTTGTTTCCACAGTCAGAGTTGCCTAATAGTGAGACGTATACAAAAATGGGGAGCTGCCACAGCAAACACCTAAAATATGTCACATAAGCTGTGGTTCTTGGTACAAATTAACAAGAAAAGGCTATTCAGTTTTTTAAGATGTCAACCCATATTATGTATCACAAAAACTTTGTGTATGACTAAAACCTATAAAAATTTGAAAAGCGAAGCTGTCAAATAAATATGTGGCTTTGGATAATGAGATTTTACTCAAAATAGAATATTGGTAGCATTAGTTGATTATTATTAGCTGCCTTTGATAAATATTATAAAAATTAGTTTAACTCAGAAATAAAGGAATTTTTGTAATCTGGGTTAAAAAGAAATTGAAAGGATGTAGACAATTAGGACTAGAAGGACAGATTTGAATACATACTTCTTGTCAATTCTAGGCAGTAAAAGATTTTTTAAAAATCAAGGATGTGATGATTACATCCTTCATTAAAATATCTGATTGGATTAATGTTGCACTTTGAAATTCTCCTCAATCAAACACAATGGCTCTAGGAAAAAAACAGCAAAGATATTATCTCATGGGCTTTTGAGAAGCTAAAGATGTCTCTCATCATATAGAGAGAATCACGTGGCTATAAGCAATTGGAGCTAATTGTATTCAACTAGAAAAAAAATTGTTACTGGGTTTTATTGCCTAAAGTAGCGAAAATTAGCTGCATGTCGTGGCATGCACTTGTAGTCCCAGCTACTGGGGTGGCTGATGTGGGAGGATCACTTGAACCCGGGAGGTGGAGATTGCAGTGAGGCAAGATCACGTCACTGCACTCCAGCCTTGGTGACAGAGTAAGAATCCCACTCAAAAAAAGAAAGAAAGAAATATTGTAACTATTCAAGATTTTAAAAATGGCCCTCAAGACCCTCAAATAACTAGGTACAGGAAGCATGTTTAGAAACATGTATTCTTCCTTTCTCTTTAAATATACCCAAGGAGACTGATAAAAAATAAATCACTCTATACAGGAGTGAGTTAGGAGCCACAGAGACCAATGCTCCTGGGAGCTCATTCTAGGATGAACCAGAACCTATGCAAAGACTATTTCATTCATCAAGAAGATAACTTCTGCCAGATTTTCAACACGGCTATTCACAAGTGACCTGTATCTGTCTACTATTTTCTTCTTTCCAAATGTGAGAATTTGAGAGTGTATGTAGTTGTCTTACTCCTGTTTCATCATTCTATGTGCTGTGTGTGTGTGTGTGTGTGTGTGTGTGTGTGTGTGTGTGTGTGGTGGGGGGAGATGGGGTGGGGAGAGAGAGATCGGAAGAAGCAGATACCTTATCCTTTCAGATAACGTATCTTAGATGACGCGTAGCTGTATCCCAACCTGATGCAGGTCATAATGCCGCGAATTATAACTGATAGAATAACTGGATGAAGCTTTTGGAGCCTTTGAGAGGAAGATGAGTGAAATAGCAGTAGAGGAAAATGAATGCTCTCCACTGTGGTAAGCTGTATTAGTTGTTCACTGTTCTTTGTTCCCTTCCTACTCTTGCCACATTTCCCTGCATGATGATTACATTTTTCTGACTTTGAGCTTAACTATACAACTTGATTCCTCAATAGTGTATGAGTAGACATTTTTTCCCACACTTGTGCAGAGGCATTCAATACATTTGTGTGATTTTGTTCTGCATCGTTTTGTTTCTGCACCTGACCATGAGAACAGCACATCCCAAATATGAGCAACTCTTTGAGCATGGGTCCAAGAAAAAGAGCTTATTTGAGGTAAGCAGAGCTCAGAAAAGCTGTAACTCATTGTCAATCTCAAAAGAAAAAGAATTGTGTTGTTGTAAGTAACTGAGATTTTGCTACCTCAGTAAAAATGTGATTTAAACAGCTAAATTAACCAGATAATCACTAGAGAACAAAGGCAAGATGGTGGTGTTATTTAGGTAGAGAGAAATTTACTTTTCAAAGTCTAAGACAATTAGTACTAGTCATCAAGAGGTCATAAAATATTGCCAAAGAAGAGTATTTGAATCTTGTTTTATGACTAGAAGCCATAAACAAAAGAAAAAAATCCAGAGTTTCATGTTTTTAAAGGGGCGAAAGGAATACTTTTAAAACTCACTGTGATTTGCGTGAGAGGAATGGGTAGTATCTCAACTGCAGGTTGTAATGGATACTGCAGCATTTGTGTGGGGAAACAGAGTCATCCTTTAAGGTTAAAATAGATCAATGGTTACACCTCAGAGAACAGGTCTGTGACTCTGCCACTGGGGGATTTTGAGAACTTCTTAAGAATCTACTTTGCAACTATACTATGAATGCTGAAAGTATCATTTTTCCTCAAATGCATGAATATTCTCCTATTTCAAAACATTTTCCAGGCATACCTAATTTTATTTTGCTATACTTTATTGCACTTCACAGAACTTATTTTTTAAATTAATGCATAATAATTGTACATATTTATCAAGTACATATGATTTTTTAATGTGCATAGAATGTGCAATGATTAAGTCAGGGAATTTAGGGTATTCATCACCTCAAGTACATATCAGTTTTATGTGTTGGACATTTCAAGTCCTCTCTTCTAGTCATTTTAAAATACATAATACAGTGTTATTAACTAGAGCCACTCTTCTCTGCTATCAAACATTAGAATCTATGCCTTCTATCTAACTATATGTTTGTACCCATTAACCAATCTCTCTTCATCTCCACCCCAACACACGTACCTTTCCCTTCCTCTGAAACCTATCATTCGACTCTCTACTTCCAAGAGTAGAGAGCTACTTTTTAGCTACTTTTTAGCTCCCGCCTATGAATGAGAACATGCAATATTTGTCTTTCTGGCATGGCTTATTTCACTTAACATAGCCTCCAGTTCCATCCAGATGCCACTAGCCAGCCATCTTGAAGTCTCAGCCTGGCTCCTTCCTTATAAATTGAGAGTTTTTTACATCGAAGGTCGTGGCAACCTTGAGTTGAGCAACCCTATTGGTGCAATTTTTTCAACATCATGTACTCACTTTATATCTCTGTGTCATATTTTGGTAATTATCATGGTATTTCACACTTCTGCATTCAGCTGTTATTGTTATCAGTGATCTTTCATGTTAAAATCATAATTTTTTATGACACCACGAAACTCTGGCGATGTAAGACAGCAAAATTATTGGTATCTGTTGTGTGTGTTTTTACTATTCCATGTACCAGCTGTTTCCTCATCTCTCTTGCTTTGGGCCTCCTTATTCCCTGAGACAAAATAATATTAAAACTAGACCAAATAATAACTGTACAAATGGACAGTAAGTGTTCAAGCAAGAAAAGAGACATACATCTGTCACTTTAAATCAAAAAATATAAATAAATAATTGATCTTACTGATAAAGACATGTTAAAAGCCAAGAGAAGTCCAAAGTTAGAACCATTGCGTCAGTTAGCCAAGTTGGGATGTGAAGGAAAAGCTATTGAGGGAAATTAGAAAAGCTACTTCAGTGAACACACAAATGATAAGAAAGCTAAACAACCTCTTTGCTGATATGCAAAAATTTTTAATTGTTTGGATGGAAGGTGAAACCATCCACAGCATTCCCATAAGCCAAAGCCTAATCTAGGGGAAGGCTCTAGGGAAGGCTCTAACTCTCTTCAATTCTATCAAGGCTGAGAAGTTGTTGAAGCAAAGCTTCAAGCTAGCAGAGGTTGGATCATGAAGTTTAAGAAAGAAAGCCATCTCCATAACCTAAATGTGCAAGGTGAAGCAACCACTGCTTATACAGAAGCTGCAGCAAGTTATTCAGAAGATCTAGTGAGGATCATTGATGAAGGTGGCCACATTAATCAACAGATTTTTCAATGTAGAAAAAATTGTCTTCTATTAGAAGAAGAGGCCATTTAGGAAATTCATAGATAGAGGGAGAAGTATTTGGCTTCATACCTGCAAAGGGCAGGCTGACTCTTTTGTTAGGGGCTAATGGAACTGGCAGCTTTAAGATGAAGCTGTCTCATTAGCTATTCTGAAAATCCTAGGATGCTTAAGACTTATCCTAAATCTACTTTGCCTGTGCACTATAAATAGAACAACAAAGCCTGGATGATAGCACATGTGTTTATAGCACAATTTACTACATATTTTTTCATCACTGTTGAGAACTACTGCTCAAAAATGATTTCCTTTAACATATTACTGCTCATTGACAATATATCTGGTCATCCAAGAGCTCTGATGAAGATTTACAGGATGATTAATGTTGTATTTATGCCTCCCAAAACAACATATATTCTAAAGCCCATGGATCAAGGAATAATTTTGACTTTCAAGTCTCATTTAAGAAATATTTTTTTGTTAGGCTATAGCTGCCATTAACAGTGAGTCCTCTAATGGGCCCAGGTGATAAAAATTTAAAATCTGGAAATAGTTCGTCATTCTGGATGCCATTTAGAAAATTAGTGATTTATGGCAAGCAATCAAAATGTCAATGTTAACAGGAGTTTTAAAGATGATTCCAACCCTCGTGGAAAATTTTGAGGGTTCAAGACTTCAGTGGAGAAAGTAACTGCAGATGTAATGGAAATAGCAAGATAACTTAGAATTAGAGGTGGTGCCTGAACATGTTACTGAATTACTACAATCTTGTGATGAAACAAAGAGATGAGAAGTTGCTTCTATAGATGAGTAAAGGAAGTGGTTTCTTGAGATAAAATCTACTCTTGGTGAAGATATTTTGAACATTATTGAAATGAAAATAACTGATTTAGAATATTACATAAACTTAGTTGTAAAGCAGGGGCAAGGTAAGAGAAGATTTACTCTAATTTTGAAAGTTTTGTTGTGGGTAAAATGCTATCAAACAACATCACATGCTACAGAAAAGTCATTTGTAGAAAGAAAAGTGAGTTGATGCAGCAATATTTATTGTTGTATTTTAAGAAATTGCCACAGCCAACCCAACCATCAGCAACCATCATTCTGATCCATTAGCAGATATCAACACCAAGGCAAGATCTTCCACCAGCAAAAAGATTAGGATTCACTGAAGGCTTATATAATCACTAGTGTTTTATTGCAGTAAAGTATTTTTTTTAATTTAAGGTGTATACCTTACTTTTATAGACATAATGGTATTATACACTTAGTAGACTATGCTATAGTGTAAATGTAACTTTTATATGCACTAGGAAGAAAAAACTTTGTGTGACTCACTTCACTGCAATATTTGCTTTATTGTGACGGTTTGAAGCTGAACCCCCAATATCCCTGACTACCCTGATATCCCTGAACCCTGAACCCCCTGATATCCCTGAACCCCCAATATCCCTGACTACTCCAACATCCTTGACTACTATCCCTGTATCTACCCACCAAACTTCGACTACTCTATAGTCTAACCTCTAAAGCTACCAGTACTTTTATCCCTAGGGATATATTAGTGTCATTGAAAAGATGAGGCATACTCAATCTGAAAAGTCAGGGAGATATTTCTATCTCACTTGCCTTAGTGTTCCACTGTTTTAAGGCATTTTGCCTTTAGTTTCACAGAGATTGTTGAAAAAAGTTTAAACTTTTTTTTGTCTTTTCTTTTTATTTTTTCATCCTATGTAAAAATCAGTAGAGAGTTCGGCTAAAATGTAATTATAAATCAGAGCCAACTTTTTGCTGCACAGCCCCCTTTTTTGAAATCTCAGGGAAATTTCATTAGATTAAGTTTTGCACACAGATTCTGTTTTTAACAAACTTTCTCACAAAGTTCTTTAGTCATAATAACCTGGGAGGCTTATGTGCTGTATTTTAGAATGTTTCAGCCTTTTGTAATCCTACTGTGAGAACAATTACCTATAAAATACATTTTAAATAAAAAAGATGAGTAGTGGATAAGGAATTATGAACAGAATGAAGTGGTTAGATAGAATATCAGCCATGGAAAGAATGTTCGTAAGGACAAAGTATTTGTTTGTTTGAGGATAAAGATAAGAAAATCTTGGGTGAATGTGTTAAAATTAGAAAAGAAAGACATTGACTTGACTGTCCTTGACATCACTGATTGTTGGGAGGAGAGTTCTTGTGGGATTAGAAACCTGCAACACCGATAAGACACAGTCCATTCTGTATCCAAACTGAATGTAGTGACAAGCTGAGCTGATGTCCTTGAAACTGAGCTTTCCTCAGAGTATTAACAAGTAGAACTAAGCTGTATCCAGAAAAGGTGACCTCATGGGACATGGAAGTGTGTCACAGACTCTGACAGAGATGATGCAAAAACGTCTTCAACTCAATGGACACTGAAAATACTGGGAAGAATAAGTAGTCCATGATAATGTAACAATAAACTTTAATGTTTTGATAGGAACAAGGCTAACTTGCCATGGAAGAAAGAATTAGAAAATGATGACAAAGTAAATACAAATCTTTAATAAAATGTGGTTGAATACAGCTTCCTTTGCTATGCAAGTGTCTGTGTGATAGCCAATTATAATTCCTTAAAATGTATTACTTTATTTTAATAAATTACTCCAATGATGAAAAAGCCTACTTAGAAATTACCTTGTTGTATATTAAAATAAAAAAGCAAATCTTAGTCTGTTAACAGAAAGATTTAGGTAATATTTAAAGTATTTAAACTTCTATATATTTCAAACTAATAACTAGTTTTTATTTACCATGATTATATTTTAATATAAAGATAGGTTCATTAAAATATTAAACCTTGAATATTTTAGAATAAAGTGTTTGAGGAGGTGACTTACTGTTATTGGAAACTGATATTTATTTTTCCTTGCATTTTTTATTAAAATATAAAATAATTATACTACACAGTACAAGTTGCTTTAATCTTTGAAAATTATATATACATTTAAAATATATTTTAAAAGATTTATTGAGATATAATTTTTATAATATAAAATTCACCTGTTTTGAGTATACGATTCAATGATTTTTTGTATATTTTCCGTTGTTCAATCATTAATTCATTCTAATTCAGAACATTTTTGTCATCCCAAAAATGAATTTTATGCTGATTAATAATCATGTCCTTCCCCCACATCACTCCTTCAACTCCTGAAAATCATGCCTTTATATTCTGCTTCTGTAGATTTGTCAATTCTAGTAATTTTATACAAATAGGATCATATGGTATGTTGTCTTCAGTGACTCTTTTCACATACCTCATAGTTGTAGCATGCATACATCCTTCACTCATTTTTATTGCTAAATAGTAGCCTATTGTGTGAAAACATTACATTTTATGTCTTTATTCATCAATTGGTGGATAGCTGGGCTATTTCTATTTCTTGACAATTACAAATAACGCTGCTATGAGCAATTGTGTAAAAGTTCTGTGTAGATATATGTTTTAATTTCTCTTGGGTAGATATCTATGAGTGAAATTGCTGTTTCATATTATTATCTCTATATTTAACAAAAATATATCCTTATGAGTGAATTTGCTTTCTGTAAAACTACAGAAAAGGAAAACTACTCTTCCGAAACTTATGCAGAATAATTTTTAAGAAACTTTATAATGTAAACATTTTTAATCATCCATAATAATAATGATCTACTTTTGAAATTAAAATAAAATAAAAAACTCAGAAACTCTGATTTTCAAATTTTAAGATGGTGGCTTCTGACAAACACATTTTTGTCAAAATAGCATTTGTACTTACTTCAGTTTCTCTGAAAACCTAAATGACAAAAATGATCACGTAAGGTAGTAATTTTGAAATTTTTTGGCTGAGTGGCCATGAGTCTATTGGCACCCAACAGTGAGGAAAATTATTTATAAACAGCCATATTATGTGCTAGACCAAAGTTCTGTATTGCCTCAAGCTTTAAAAAGTATTGCAAAAATGTTGTGACTAAAATTATATATTCTTGAACACTTCTTACCAAATTCAGTTTCAAAGTTTGCTTTTACTTTCTCTCATTATATTTATACTACTGTTTTTGTAAATTATTCTGATTTCTTAAAGAGTCTCTTGAATTAATATATACATCAACAAAGCCTACACTTCTAAAAATACTCATAAATTTAAGGGCATTTTAAAGTAAATCTCTTAAAACTAGAAGCTTTAAAATAATTTCGCTTTTTTACTGAAAAGTATAATTTCACTACAAACTATAATTTTTATGTAGTTGTGTTATAAATAAGAAGTATAACTGCACTCTTACCAGAGTCCAAAGCAGTGATTAAATAACCACAAATTAAGGCAACTACAAATAGATACTGGTTACTGACTTCGATCAATTAATTTTTCAAAGGTCAGATCTCCCTTTAAAGTTTTCCCTTTTTAATTTCAGTAAACTAATGTGACCCTAGTAATAGGAAGAGAGAAAAATAATATTTATTTAATTTCTCCACATTTGTTACATTAAAATACTTTATTGTTATTATGAAAACCAATCTCATAAAGTTATATTCAACATTAGCCCAGTTTTCCAACTGAGTTAATACTTGTGACAGGGAAATATTACCTTCCTTACATAATGCCACAGAACTGTGAACCAATAGAGTTGACATTTTAACCCAGAATGCTCTAACACCAAAGCTTCTATACTCTTTTCACCACACCAGGGATCCTCTCAATTGAATTTATCTATGTAGTCAACATATGTTGAGTGCACAGTTTTCTACTAGGTGACAGGTTTACAAAATACAATAGCACCCAGTTTCTGCTAAGAAAAGATTACAGTCAACTGGGTGGGAAGGAAGTAATTATTAAATTTAATTACAATAGAGAATGGCAAGTGCTAAATTTTAGTCATGTATGCATGGGATAAAAGATGTAAATGACTACAGTTAGCTTTTAGAGAGAAAAGTTTGAGGGGCATTCTTTTTGTAGAAACTGATGAGTGAAATTAAAAATTAAGAATGGCAGATATTCACACAGAAGAACTTTAGAGGAAAGCCTGGAGGAAATAAACAGTATAATGTATACAGAACAATGATAGGAAGTTCAGAATCAAGGGTCCATGCATTGTAATATAATTAATTTTAATTATAGATATTATGCTCCTTTTTACTCATCATTTTTATTGTTTCCTAACATGAGCACACACACACAAGCACACACAAATAAAACCTGCATTCTAAAACAGGTATTTTAATCTTACATGGATGAGCATGGGAATGTCGGAATAAGGAATGCCTTAAAACTATTTTCTGAATGTATATTTTATTTCCTTTGAAAATGGTGCATAAGATTCCCAGAGGTGCTTGTGACCCAGCTATGACCCAGCCTTCCGATTCTACTTTGAGGAATCCACAAACTAAGTTGGTTTATATATTTATCTATTCATATACACATATATATGTATATTTAGAGCATATAGATTCAAGTATGTGTAAACACCTGAAAATTATAAAATAGTTTACTGTAAAATTATTTTTTGCCTTAAAAAAATGCTTTTACTTTAGGGAATGCTAAATTCTTCCAACTTGCTTTTTCTTTCTCTTTGTTGGAATCTGGTAGTTCTACTCGACTGTCACTGAGATTGCAGTAATTAGCCTTCTTTTATTGCAGAACAGATGTTCTAAGTGCTGGGCTCATTCAACATGGGTTGGGATTGAGATATCACAGCTGTTATAGTTTAATTCTGGTTGGGTCAGAAGGCTTTATCATTATCCATTCAAAATATTGGTAAAATGTAATAAAAATACATATTTCCAATTAAGTTTCACTTAATTGAGTTTTAGTCAGTCAATCCCTCAATGTCACCAATGGTAGCATGGGCTGTAGTTTGACAAGTCAATAATCATTTTAATGGTCACAGTCTGAAGAGTTCTATTTGTATAAATAATTATCATTACTGATTGATTTTTATTATAATACTGAGAGCAGCTGATTGAAAACAGAAGGAAAAAATCTGTATTACTATCTGATTTCCAGAAAATAGACACTTTGAGAACCTTTTTATATAACCAAATTTTTCTGAATTATTTCTAATACCCATAAAAATAATATAATATTTTGATTTCTGAAAATCTGCATTGTTCTCACACCACTATTCAACTTTCTAAATCAGAGAAAATACTACATTTAATTTTGTAGAGTAACAGATTCAATTCCAACTAGCTGAATAGGACTGTTTATATGAGGATCTTCCACAACTGATTAATTTTCATCTCTAAACAAAAGTAATAGCCAACTGCTTTGACTTAGGTCATCCCCAACCTAGGTACATTAATGCAATCCGATTTAGTCATTAGGACTGTTAAATTAATTGAATTGACTTTGCAATTTTATGGTTATTTCAGTCTTAACCACTGAATCAGATCTTATCTGAATTGTCTCAATCAATTTGTGACAAACGGCTATTACCATAGCCAAAGGAACAATTCTGCATCTATTAAGGGAGGGTCATCTTGATCATTGTAAAAACATTTTAGCTAGGCAGCACTAGCTTAGTATATCTGTTTATATAATAGAAATATGAAATACATAATTTAATGATTTCCCCTATAAGGCAAGATAGTAGATACAACTGGGTTAAATTTTCTATGAGCCCATTTGAGTGTAACATTTGAATATTGTTCATGTTGGCAGTAACAGTGAGGGTCACTTGGTAAGAAACATTGTTACCCTCTATGAAGTAAACTACTAAAAACATTCTAAATTGTCCAGGTATGAGTGGTGGGATTGTAGCAGGATTGCTTGGGACACATTCTAAAATGCCTGCCCTCTCTTTAGCCTCTCCCTTTGCCACACATTTGACAGTTCTCCAAGCTATACTGGAATATTGGACACTTATTGTGACAGATATTAGTTGGCTTGTATATGCCCCAAATTCATCTTGTGTATGAGTCCATTCTCACACTGCTAATAAAAACATACTTATGACTGGGTAATTTATAAAGTAAAAAGATTTAATTGAGTCTGGGAAGGCTTAAAGCTGGAGCTTGTACTAGGGCCTGCTTTAAGGTTTTGAAGGCTGTTTCAGCCCCTGGTTCCCATTCTACTAGATGAGTATTTGCCTTCTGGGTCTCCATGATTAGAGTGTATAGTGGTCTGGCCATCTCGCTGTATCCAGGAATCCATAGTCAGCAAAAGCCGGTGATTCCAAGGAACCCCCACAACTGTTTTAATGTCTTAGGGTGAGGATAAGCCAGTATAGGCTGTATTCATTCCTTGCTGAGGGCCCTGGTTCCTCTGGCTAAGATTAGGCCTAGATATTTGACGTGCTGTAGGCAAAGCTGGGCATTTGACCTAGACACCTTGTACCCTTGATTAGCTAGAAAGTTCAAGAGATCTAAAAATAGCCTGCTGGCATGAGGCTTCCGAACTGCTATCCAAAAGCAAATCATCCACATATTGAAGGACCAGAGTGCCTGGACTTGAGAAGTGGCCTAGATCTTGGGCCAGTGCCTGACCAAACATATGGGGGCTATCCCTAAACCCTTGGGGCAACACGTTCCACGTAAGTTGGGACATGTGGTCTGTGGGATCCTCAAAGGCAACGAGAAACTGGGAGTCAGAGTGCAGGGGAATACAGAAAAAGGCATCCTTGAGGTCCAGAACCATGAACCACTCTGCTTCCTCTGGTATTTGAGAGAGCAGGGTATAGGGGTTGGGTACAACTGGATATAGAGGAATTACTGCCTCATTGATGAGTCTCAGATCTTGCACTAGTCTCCACTGACCATTCGGTTTTTGTACTCCTAGAATTGGGGTGTTGCAGGGATTGCTGCATTTCCTTATTAAGCCTTGAGCTTTTAGTTGTTTAACAATATCCTGTAATCCTTTATGAACTTCAGGCCTTAAGGGATATTGCCTTTGATAAGGAAAAGTGGTGACATCTTTTAACTGGGCAGGCATTTTTTGCCCTTCCAAATTGTCCTTCCAATGCCCAGACTTCAGGGTTGATTCCCTCCTCAAGTAGGGGACAACAAATTGGTAACTTATTCCCCACATTCATGTAGATAATAGCTCCAGCATTGGCTACTAAATCTCTCCCTAATAAGGGTGTGGGACTTTCAGGCATAACGAGAAAGGCAAGTGAAAAGAGCAAAGTCTCCCAATTACAACTGAGGAGGTGGGAGAAATACCTGGTTACAGGCTGTCCCAGGATTCCTCAGATGGTAACGGACTTTGAGGATGGTTGTCCATGACAGGAGATTAACACTGAGAAGGCCCACCAGTGCACAGGAGGAAGTCAATTTCCTGGCCCTCAATGGTTAAGCGTACCCGGGGCTCAATGAGGATGATGACATGAGCTGGTGCTTGCCCCAGGCACCCTCAGTCCTGTTGTTGGATCATCCGGTTGGGGGCTTCTGGCTCAGAGAACCATTGCACTCTGGGGCAGTGCACCTTACAGTGATTGCCTTGGCATAGTGGACATGGGCGAGGGGATGGCTTGTTTCTCAATGGACAATCTTTTTTAAAGAGTCCCTGTAAACTACACTGATAACAAGCCTTACTGGGTGATTTTCTGTCCTTTCTGAACCACCAAGGTTTGTTTGTCTGACGGCCATGACTAAGGCTGCAGCCTTTCTCTGACCTCGCTTTTCCTTTTTGGCCTGTTCCTCTTGGTCCCTATTATAGAACACAGAGGTTGCTAGGTCTAATAGTGCCTCCAGATTTTGTTCAGGGCCCAGGGCTCACTTTTGGAGCTTTCTCCTGATATCTGCAGCTGATTGGGTAATAAGCTTATCTCTTAGGATCAATTGACCCTCTAGTGAGTGGGGTGACAGGGGAGTATATTTTCTTAAGGCCTCCCATAGCCACTCAAGGAAGGCAGAAGGATTTTCTTCCTTTCCCTGAGTTATGGTGGACATCTTTGAATAATTCATGGGCTTTTTCCTAATTCTCCTTAGTCCTTCCAGAACACAGGTCAACAGATATTTACGACTCCAGTCCCCATGATCCAAGTTGAGGTCCCAGTGGGAATCCATACTGGAGAAGGCTTGCTGACCCATAGGGAATTTGGCCCTTTCTTCGGCTGTCATTCTATCATTTATTTGACTAAGATACCAGGTATCTCCAAACTCTGGGGCTGCAGCTAAAGCTGCATTCTTTTCATTAAAGGCCAGGGTTTGATCTAACAATAGCATGACATCTCTCCAAGTGAGAGAGAAGGTTTGCCCTAGGCCCTGTAGGACATCTATGTACCTATCAGGATCATCTGAAAACTTCCCCAGGCCTGCCTTGATCTGCCTTAAATCAGAGAGGGAGAAGGGGACACGTACCCGGGTTGGGCCAAATTCCCCTCCTCCTACAGCTTGAAAGGGACATAACTGATAGCATGGGAGTTTTTGTGGTCCTTTGGAGATTTCTTTGCTTATTTCCTTCTGAGTGGGGGAGATTGGAAGAGGCTTAGTAATAGGAAGGGGAGCTATAGGGAGGCTAGGATATGGAGGTAAGCTGAGAAGTACTCCTGTGGGTTGTAAATTGCAAGCTTTGCATAGTTGCGTATTCTCCTTCAATGAAAAGAAAGCTTGGACATAAGGTATTTCACTCCATTTGCCTTCCCTCTAACAGAAAAGGTCAAGCTGCAGGATAGTATTGTAATTTGTACTTCCCTCAGGTGGCCATTTTTCGAATATTGGGGCCCAGCCATAGTGCAGAAAAAAATGAACCACCTCTTTTTCAGGGTTTGCGGGTCAGATTGTTCCCAGTGGCTTAGGATGCATTTCAAAGGTGAGCCTGTTGATGCCTGAGTGTTTCCCATCTGAAGGCAAAACCACCCACAGTTTTGGTTTATTTGTTTCTCTCCCTGCCCAAGAACCCGCAACAGTCCGTGGACCCTGTTGATCGGAATAGTTGCACTCACCAATGCAGCAGTAAAAACACCTCTTACCCAAGAACCCACAATGGTCCCTGGACCCTGCTGATCAGAATAGTTGCACTCACTGACACAGCAGCAGAAACACCTCTTGCCCAAGAACCTGAAATGGTCCCTGTACCCTGCTGATTGGAAAAGTTGCTCTCACCGACGCAACAGCAGAAACACTAGTTTTCCTCCTAGACCACAAGGAGGACCAAGGAGTGTCAAATTTAGTGGCCCTTACTGATGCATTCTCGAAAACCTGCATCCTTACCTGTCCTAGACCACAAAGAGGACTGAGAAAAATCAGATTTAGTGGCCCTTACTGATGCATCCTTGAAAACCTGTTAGAGTCCTAAGCATTCTTCTGTTAGTACTGGGACTTTACCTGTGTCCTATAAAGATGTTATGCCCCAAAAATGAAGTGGAGGGCCATACCCTGAGGGAGTGGAGGGATCTCCAGAGTTGGAAGAGTGATGCCTTTTGTCCTCACTTATATGAATAGGAAGGATACAATTTCTGAGGCTCCCTACATCCTAGGTTCAGGAATAGGTTTTGTTAGGCCTGCTTGTCTGAGGAGGGATCCTAAAATTCCAGATGGTGCCCCCTACAATGGGGCTTTGGGCAAAAATTATGTCTTTCTGATCGGTGAGCTCAGATGTCTAAAGAAGGGAATAGAGTCCTGGATTTTATACTAGAAATCATTCTTATAGGAGAAACTAGAAAAGCACCAGAGACGGAGTGGTTTTTAGAACCAGGACTAGCCTCAGAGAAGAGAGGTGAGAGGAAGTTTTTCTGACAAGCATTAGGACCCAGGAGGCAAGGGTCAGGACAGATAGGATAGATGGGCGAGTCTCACTTGGGTGACATGACTTTGAGGTTCTGCTCATGGCTGCAGGTTCAACCAACTTGTCGGGACCCCGGATCTGAATGGCTTTCCTCTCTGTCGACCTCAGCTCAGCCCAGAAGTACAGGAAAAGAGGAAGCTGGTTCCAGGCAAACCAATGCTCCCAACTCCAAAGAGTCGGGGGTTGTTAGAGAGTCTTCCCAGAAAGCCTGACACCCGTGTGTTTAGCCTGGCAGCCATGCTAGTCGCTTTTAACTGGCCAACAGTTGCCCGGTATTTAGCCCCTGAGTTCTAAGGAGAAATAAGACAGAATAGCAAGCAAAAGGGGTCCTATGGTACTCACCGCTTGGTGATAATCCCTTCATGGTTGCCAAAATGTGTCCTGAATCGGTTCCTTCCAGTGGGTTCTTGGTCTTGCTGACTTCAAGAATGAAGTCATGGACCCTCACGGTGAGTGTTACAGTTCTTAAGGATGGTGTTTCCAGAGTTTGTTCCTCCAGATGTTCAGATGTGTCCAGAGTTTCTTCCTTCTGGTGGGTTCATGGTCTCACTTGACTTCAGGAGTGAAGCCCCAGACGTTTGCAGTGAGTGTTACAGCTCTTAAAGGTGGTGCATCCAGAGTTGTTTTTCCCTCCTGGTTGGTTTGTGGTCTCACTGACTTCAGGAGTGAAGCCACAGACCTTCGCAGTGAGTGTTACAACTCTTAAAGGTGGCACATCCAGAGATGGGTGGGTTCATGGTCTTGCTGACTTCAGGAGTGAAGCTGCAGACCTTTGCAGTGAGTGCTACAGCTCATAAAGGTAGTACAGACCCAAAGAGTGAGCAGCAGCAAGATTTATCATGAAGAGTGAAAGAACAAAGCTTCCACAGCATGGAAGGAGACCCCAGTGGGTTGCCGCTGCTGGCTCAGGTGGCCAGCTTTTATTCCCTTATTTGGCCCTGCCCACATCCTGCTGATTGGTCCATTTTATAGAGTGCTGATTATTCTGTTTTTATAGAGTGCTGATTGGTGTGCTTACAAACCTTTAGCTAGACACAGAGTGCTGATTGGTGCATTTTTACAGAGTGCTGATTGGTGCATTTACAAACCTTTAGCTAGACACAGAGCGCTGATTGGTGTGCTTATAATCCTTTAGCTAGACAGAAAAGTTATCCAAGTCCCCACCTGACCCTGAAGCCCAGACAGCTTCACCTCTCACCTTCAGAGAACTCTGACTAATACATCCAGAGACAGGTGCCCTCAAAGAATGTTTGAACAACCTTCTAAAGGCAGAGCTGAAATACCAGTTGAAAGGCAACATCCTGAAAGAACAAGATGCCCTCCTTCAGGACAAGTGTATTTATTAAGTCCGGGGCCTCTAATTGATGCTGTGTCCATAATAGAATACATAGGTCCAGTAACTACATTTCAAATCCACATTTTACTGCTTATTTTTTTCAGAATACTTTCAGTGCTACTACTTGCATCAGTCCACAGCCTGTGAAGCACAAGACAGGACTTTTATTAAATTTCACCCACAGATTTTATCAAAGGAACCTGAAACCAGTTATGTGAGAGGAAATCAGAAGAGGGATGTGTGATGATGGGGAAACTGTTAAACACCAAGGCAGGTCTAACCCTAATTGAAGGAAAGGAAGGAAAGGAAGGTGACATCTCCAGGACTTTGGGTCTAAGGAACGTTTGGAAAATAACCACTGAGGAGTCCTCATGCCAAAGTCCACAGCCTAAGCAATTCCATATCTGCCAGGAATGGGCCTGCATTCACACTGCTCCTGGACTCAGTCAGGGGCTAGGAAGCACCCATAAAAAGGCATAGCCTTGGTCCCAATGCAGTGATGGGTATTGGGACTCAGCAGCAGGGGAACTTATTCAATTATGGGTTTTGCAGTTGGAGGTCTGTGAGGTGCCATTCTCCCCACACAACTGTGTCTCCATGGCCTAAAAGCAACCTTTGCTCTTATACTCAGAGTTTTCTTACTTTCTCAGTAGCTTTGCTTCTTGCAGTCTCATATTCAATTGAGCTCTCTCTATCTGCTATATCTTGCCCTCTCTTCTCATCTAAGAATATATCTTTATGATAGGACATTCCCATTAAAATAATAGCAATAATGATAATAAATATAATTCTCCCTCTTGACACCAAATTGATTTCCATCTTGGACCTCATTCTTCTGGTTGCCTTTCTTGACATTGTTTGAGATAATTGCTACCCACACTATCTTATCTTAACTTCTCAATCTGCCATTTACTTATCTGTCCAGCTAGTTTGATTCAGATTCTACTATATGTGCATATTTTCAATAACTTTGTATTAGTTCTCACACTGCTATAAATATAATATCTGAGACTGGGTAATTTATAAAGAAAATATGTTTAACTGACTCACAGTTCCACATGGCTGGGGAGGCCTCAGGAAACTTACAATCATGCTGGTGGGTGAAAGGGAAACAAGCAACTTTTTCAAAGGGTCACAGGAGAGAAAGAGAACTTGGGGAAACTGACTCTTTAAACCATCAGATCTCATGAGAACTCTCTTACTATCATGAGAACAGCATGGTGGAAACCACCCCCATGATTCAATCACCTCTCCAAAGTTTACTCCCTCATTACATGAGAATTACAATTAGAGATGAGCTTTCGGTGAGGATACAGAGCCAAATCATATCATTTCACTTTCACCCCTGGTCCCTCTCAAATCTCATGTGCTTTTCACATTTCAAAAAAAATCATGCCTTCCCAATCCCCCAAAGACTTAACTTATTCCAGCATTAACTCCAAAGTCCAAGTCCAAAGTCTCATCTGAGCCAAGGCAAGTCCCTTCAGCCAATGATCCTGTAAAATCAAAGTCAAGTTAATTACTTCCAAGTACAGGCATTGAGTAAATGTTGCCATTCCAAATGGGAGGAATTAGCCAAAGCAAAGGGGCCACAGGCCCCATGCAAGTCCAAAGGGCAGGATAGTCATTAAATCTTAAAGCTCCAAAATCTCCTTTGACTCCATATCTCATGTCCAGGGCATGCTGATGTAAATGGTGAGCTCCAGTGGCCCTGGGAAGCTCCACCCCTGTGGCTCTGGAAGGTACAGACCCTGTGGCTTCTTTCATGGCTGGCATTGAGTGCCTACAGCTTTTTCAGGTGCTGGGTTACAAGCTGCTGGTGGATCTACCATTCTGGGTGCTGAAGGATGATGGCCCTCTTCTTGCATCTCCACTACACAGTGCCCCAGTGGGGACTGGGTGGGGGCTACAACCCCACATTTGCTTTTTGCACTGTCCTAGCAGAGGTTCTCCATGGGGGCTCCACCCCAGGAACAGCTTCTGGCTGGACATCCATGCATTCTCATACATCCTCTGAAATCTAGGTGGAGGTTCTCAAACATCAACTCTTGTCTTCTGCACACCTGCAGGCTCAGCACCACGTGGAAGTCACCAATGCTTGGAGCTTGCACCCTCTGAAGCAACAATCTGAGCTGTATCTTAGCCCCTTGTAGCCACCGCTGGAGCTGGAGTGGCTGGGATGCAGGGTGCCATGTCATGGGGTGGCACAGAGCCACAGAGTCCTGGGCCTGGTCCATGAAACCATTTTTCCTTCTTGGGCCTCCAGGCCTGTGATGGGAGGGGCTGCTGTGAAGATCTCTGGCATGCCTTAAAGACATTTTCCACATTGTCTTGGCTACTAACATTCAGCTTCTTATTATTTAGGCAAATTTTTGCAACTGGCTTGAGTTGTTCCCCAGTAAATGGATTTTTCTTTTCTACCACATAGTAAGGCTTCAAATTTTCAAAACCTTTGTGTTCTACTTCCCTTTTATACATAAATTCAAATTTTAAACTGTCTCTTTGTAGATGCATATGACTGAATGTTTTCAGAAAAAGCCTGTTCACATCTTGAACATTTTGCTGCTTAGAAATTTCTTCGGCCAGATACCCTAAATCATCTCTCTCAAGTTCAAAGTTCCACAGGTCTCTAGGGCAGGAGCAAAATGCTGCCAGCCTCTTTGTTAAAGCATAGCAAGAGTGACCTTTCTCCAGTTTTCAGTAAGTTTCTCATCTTCATCTGAGACCACCTCAGCCTGGACTTCCTTGTCCATATCACTATCAGCATTTTGGTCAAAACCATTCAACAACTCTCTAGGAAGTTTCAAACTGTCCCACCTCTTCTTATCTTCTTCTGAGCCCTCCAAACTGTTCCAATCTCTGCCTGTTAGCTAGTTCCAAAGTTGCTTCCACATTTTCAGGTTATCTTTATAGCAGTACCCAACTCTGAAGGTACCAATTCTATGTACTTGTCCATTTTCACACTGCTATAAAGATACTATCTGAGACTGAGTAATTTATGAAGAAAAGATGTTTAGTTGACTCACAGTTCCATATGTCTTGGGAGGCCTCAGGAAATGTACAATCATGGTGAAAGGTGAAGGAGAAGCAAGCACCTTCTTCACAGGACAGCAAGAGAGGGAGATAGCACAGGGGAAACTGCCACTTTTAAACCACCATACCTCATGAGAACTCCCTCACTATCAGAAGAACATCATGGGGGAACGGCCCAATGATCCAATCACCTCCCATCAGGTCCCTCCCTCAACACATGGGATTTACAATTTAAGATGAGAGTTGAACACAGAACCAAACCATATCAATTTTATTGTCAAATTGATTGGAAATTCCTCTTACCTCATCTTATTAAATGATTCAACAGCAATTGATAAATTCAACCATTCTTTCTTTCTCTTGCAATAATCTTCTTGGGTTCCCTGAAATGAAGATCTTTAGTGGTTTTACATATATGTTTTGTTCACCTTACTTTGCCAGACCTTTTTACAGATTTCCCTATTTCATTGGCATACATCAGATCTTTGTTTTCTTATCTTTTTCTACCATCTCCTTAGGTAAAATAAACAGTTTGTTGGTTTGTTGCTTTAGCCAACATATTGTGCTGATGCGTTCTTCTGTTACCTCTTTAGCCTTAACTTTTCCTCTGAGTACCAGTCTCGTATATCTAAATTTATACTTGACATCTTCATGTAGATGTCTTTCATGCATTGTAAGCATATACTAAGTAGAAATGGTCATTTCTCTCCCCAAATCTTTTTCTCCTTGAAAATACTACATATCAGAAAATAGTGCTGGAATTCATCCAGATATTCATGCAAGAAAAATTGGAGCAATTTTTCAGTTACTTTTTCTACCTCAGCCATTATATTCAAGCATCAGTCTTTCTTATATTTTATTATTTTATTTATAATCTATCCACTTTTTTCTGATCTCCACTGTCTTCACCTTAGTTGATCTCTTCTATGGCTTATTGCAATAGCCTCCAAACTCATCTCTAGATGTCTCTCTTGATCCTTCCAATCCATTCTCCACAAAGTAGCTAGAATATTTCAACTAAAATATTTTTATACTGCACTTGGAATAAAGCATTGGCTCTTTACATTAGGCTAGTAAGGTCAATGCTTTCTCTTGTCCCATTTGTCATTTGTACTTCATCTCAATAGCACTCTCTCCATTTCTATTAGAGTCTAGGAAAATGGTCTTGGGTTACACTTACATGCCAAACTTTTTCTCCATTATTGCAGATTTTCCTCTGCCTTCCACAGTCTTCACTTCTATTTTGTTTAGCATGATCATGCTCATTGGTTTTCTGGGTAAGACCCAACATTTTAAAGAGTGTCTCCTTTTTCCTCAGAATTGACTACATTTGGGCAAATTCTATGACAAATCTATAATTTCAAAGCAAACTCTTCTTATTCTTCAGTTCTTAAAATAAATGTCACTTTATCAAAAAACTCGCCTGATAATTCTTTGCAAAGCATTCTCCATCTTAGAGTATTATCCCTTACCCAGTTTTCTTCAAGCAGATATTTAAATTACCGTATATTTCATTAAGCTGGTATCTCATTGGTGGCCCAGAGTTATTGCATATGGTGCTGGGAAAACAGCAACTTTGCTACATAATGATATATTGCTTTTGTATCACCCATAATTTTTTAGACTTTAGAAAAGGATACTTTGAATCTTATTCAACAATTATTATCTTATCCATGTAAAAATGTAACTATATGTAAAATAAATGGTGAAGTTTAACCTTAACTTTAACCTAAACCTTGAATTCGAAGTTCAACTTTCCTAAGTTGTATTTTGATGCAGATATTGCTGTTCATGTTTTTCATGCAACAATGTCCTTCCCACTGTTAAGGGATTGGCAAATGCAGGAAAGAAAGAAATAATTTATTCAAATATTGCTTTGCCTATGTTTCCCAATTTTTAAGTCAGCTGTTGGCACATATTTTGCAAATTTTGAAGTCAGCATGTTCTGAATCTTAGCAGGAGTCATCGAGATTCTGCACTCTTACTTCTTCTTCAAATAGTTCTGAAATATCCTGTGTGCTGAAATACCAATGGATGTAGCTTTCCAGATACTACACTAGGAGTAACAAGCAGACACTTTTTCATGAGTGTGTTCTTTAATTGTTGACACCTCTGTCTATACCAAGCAGGGCTGCCTTATCACATCCACTTCTTATAAATTTCAGCTGGTTCAATCATTTCCCTTATCCTTTGCCCAGTAGGCAGCTCTTTCTTTCATTTGTAAGTTGAAGGGAAATTCCCTTTCCTTTATTGTATTTTATTTTTATTTTATTGAAAGGCACTGTTATATCTGTGAATTACTTTTCCTAATATTTGGGGCATTTTTCAAATAAAATAATACCTAATTCCACTGCTTTGATGATATATAAACAGCCTAAACCAATATATATATAGGTAGATAATAACTTTTACTAAAAGACTGCATTCTGGACCACAGCAACAGGAATATTCTATTAATCAGGCAATGAATACTAAGTTCAGAGATGTTAAAACGTACATTAAAATTATGTGTATTTTAGTATGAGTGAAATAAAGGATATCTTTTTTATTACATTTTTTTACTGGCTAACTATCCCTCTGGATTGAAAGTTGAATAAGGCTGTGTCTATTGCATTCACTTTGATCAAACAGACTAAGGTAACATCTGATTAATATTAGCTGTTGAACAAATTCCACATATATTTGTCGAATAAATGTATAAATAAAACCTCATAATGGAAAACTCTCCAAAGTATGAGTTTATTTATAAAAGGTGAAATTAGCAAATGCACTAATTAAAATAAAATTATATCAATCTTAGGACTCCTGGTTTTTGTAAAGAAAATTTCAGTTTTTTAGTAAAAAGATTTTAATATGAAAATGAAATAGTCAAGTACAATATGTACTTTCATTATTTTATTAAACTTCACCATGCGTGTTTGTCTTAGTCCAGGTTGCTATGACAAATTGCTATAGACCAGATAACTTAAACAACAAACATTTTTAATTTTTACAATTTTGGATGCTGGAAGTCTGAGATCAGGGTTCCAGCATGGTTGGGATTTTGATGAGGAACTTCTTTCTAGTTTTGAAGGACCATCTTCTTCCTGTGTCCTCACAAGTTAAAAAGCGAGGAAGCTAACTGGCCTCTTCTAAGGTCACAAATCTTATTCCCGAGGGTTTTACTTTCGTGACCTAATTACCTTCCAAAATCCCTACTCCCAAATACCATCACATTGAGATTAAATTTTCTACATATGCATTTTGGGAGAACACAAACATTCAGTTCATTGCATTCCACTTCTGGCTTCCCAGAATTCATGTGCTTTCTACATGCAAATGCATTCATTTCATCTCAATAGGCCCAAAATTAACTCACTCCAACATCAACTGTAAAGTTAAAAGTCCAAAGTCTTGTCTGAATTCAATATGATTAGGATTTGAGGTACAAATGTTCCTCAGACAAAATTCTTATCTAGCTGTGAAACTGTAAACTCTCATGTATTTTTTAGGGCTCTTCAGAGAGATAAAGCTAATAAGATAGATAGATGGACAGGTAAATTGATAGAAAAAGAAAAGAAAAGAGAGAGAGAAAAGAAAGAAAGAAGAGAAAGAAAGAAGGAAGGAAGGAAAGAAAGGAAGGAAGGAAGGAAGGAAGGAAGGAAGGAAGGAAGGAAGGAAGGAAGGAAGGAAGGAAAGAAAGAAACACCGAAAGAAACAGAAAGAAAGAAAGAAAGAGAAAGGAAGGAAGGAAGAAAGGAAGGCAGGCAGGGAGGGAGGGAGGGAGGGAGGGAGGGAGGGAGGGAGGAAGGGAGGAAGGGAAGGAAAGAAAAGAAAAGAAAAAGAAAGAGGGAGAGAGAGGAAGGAAGGAATGAAGGAAGGAAGAAAAAATATGAGAAGAAATTTATTAGAGGAATTGGCCCATGTGATTCTGAAAAGGTCTTATAACAGCTTGCCGTCTGCAAGTTGCAGACCCTAAAATGCCAGTAGCATGACTCAGTCAAGGCCAAAAGCCTCAGAACCAGGGCAGTGATGGTGTAACTCTCAGGCCAAGGCTGAAGGCCTGAGAACCCCAGGAGGTTACTGGTATAAGTCCTGGGGTTGAAAAGCAAAAGAGCCTGCAATTCTAATGTTCAAAGATAGGAGAAGACTGGTGTCCCAGTTCCAAGACAGAGAAAAATAAATTGCCTTTCATTTGACTTTTTGTTCTGTCTGGGCCCACAGCCAGTTGGATGATGCCTGCCCATATTAAGGACAGATCTTCCCCACCCATTCCACTGACTCATTCACCTGTCTCCTCTGCAAACACTGCCACACACAGACACACCCAGATATCATGCTTTACTAGCTCTCTAGCTATTTCTTAATTCGGTCAAGTTGATACCTAAAACTAACCATCACATTAAACAAGTTATGCGCTTCTAAAAAAAAATGGTGTGACAGAAATAAGATAGACATTGCCATTCCAAAATGGAGAAATAAAGAAGAAGGAGCCAGGACATGGTGGCTCACGCCTGTAATCCCAGCACTTTGGGAGGCTGAGGCGGGTGGATCACGAGGTCAGGAGTTCAAGACCAGCCTGGCCAAGATGGTGAAACCTCATCTCTACTAAAAATACAAAAATTAACCTTGCGTAGTGGCAGGCGACTGTAATCCCAGCTATTCGGGAGGCTGAGGCAGATAATTGCTTGAACTTGGGAGGCGGAGGTTGCAGTGAGCCGAGATTGTGCCATTGCACTCCAGCCTGGGCAACAGAGCGAGATTCTGCCAAGAAAAAAAAAAAGAACTTATTTTCCATATTTCTAGCAACATTCTGTACGTAAGTATTCATGTATGCTTTAAGATGAATAAAGCTTTCCTTAAAGCTCCCATCTTTTCCTTTTGAGTCTTTACCAGATCCACTTAATTCCCTTCAGTGACAATCTTAGGTTTTTCTAGCATGCACTTCAAAATTCTTCCAGCTTCTACCCATGACTCAGTTCCAAAGCTCTTCCACAATTTCAGATATTTTTTCCAGAACCACCCAACTTATTGGTACCAACTTCTGTCTTAGTGAGCATGGCTGTTATAAACAAATTACCATAGACTGTGTTGCTTACAAAAACCAAAAACTTACTTCTTACCATTCTGAAGGTTAGAAGTCCAAGATATGGGTATGAGTGTGGTTAAGTTCTGGTGAGGACCCTCTTCCATGTTGCAGACAGTCTACTTATCCTGTACCTTCACATGGAGGAAAAAGAGCTAGCTAGCTCTTCAGCCATTTCTTATAAGAGCGTTAATGCAATTCACGAGGGTCACCCTGTGACCTCATTACCACCCAAAGACCAGGACTTCAAACACCATCAGATTGGGATCAGAATTTCAACTTATGTATGAGATGGAGAGATCAATTTCAGTCTGTTGTGCTCTTTCCATCAAAATTTGGAAATTTAAATGCTGATGTTTAACATTATAAAATATTTTTAATTTATCATACTGCCACAGGGATACCTCTAAATTCTGTTCTTGAAGCTAACTGTCTTTGCAACCCAAAAGAATATTACATAAAGGAATCAAGAACACTATGAATACATTGTTTTCCCAGAAAAGTTTTGTGAATGTTGTGTGATTGCAATATTTCTATTTTTATTTAAAACTTCAATAGTTTGTAGTCTTTTTTTTTTTTTTTGTAAATTGTCAGTTACAAGTTTACAAACTATGAGGACTGGTTGATCCTCATATAAAGATGTGTCTTGTCATGTGCCTAGTGATACATCTTCTCTCACCTCTAGTAAAAGAAACGGCAGGGTTTTACCCTGACAATGTCACAGAGCTGTTTCAAATTCCCTTACTTATTTCTCAGTGTTTATAGCTTGTGCAGCTGTCAGCAGCAATGGCTTTTTCTTTGTTAGGCAGGGAAATGTCTGAACTTATAATTAGACCTCAGTTATGAAAATGTAACTAGTTAATCATAGCTTTAATTAGGGCTTTTGGACTCCAGAGGGATTTGAATATATCCAAGAATGGTGGAACACAGCAGCCAAAGCTTGCCTAAATTATTTTAGAGTTTATTTTCTAATTCACATACAGATGTTCATCTTCACTATATGGCCCATAATTATCATCTGAACTATTATTTAGTTATATTATCTAAAATGTTTATATCAACCGTAATACCATTATTTAAATTTGAAACTTCTTCTCTGATGAAATTATTTTAATTATACCAGTGAGATATGTGTAAGCAAGACAATAGTAACAATTTTTTAGCCACATCATAACACTGTGATATTAACATACGTGATCAACTTAATACAAACAAAACTACAAAAACAAATTTTAAATTAGAATAATAAAGTTAATATGATGGCTTATGTTACCCAATTAAAGATAAATCACTGATACGGATCAGATTCTTTTGTGTTAAGTCTAATGTGTGATTTTTCAATTTTCTCTCTTCTTTTCTCTATTGCAACTTTTGTGATATTTTTCTTAGTTCAACATAATCTTGTACCACTTGTACTTCACTAATGGCAAATACTTCATGAATTCAGTCTTTTTCCTACTAGCCTCGACAGGCCTCAATGTATGTTTCTCCCCTCCCTGTGTCCATGTGTTCTCATTGTTCAGCTCCCACTCATAAGTGAGAATATGTGGTATTTGGTTTTCTGTTTCTGTGTTTGTTTGCTGAGGATAATGGCTTCCAGTTCCATCCATGTCCCTGCTGCAAAGGACATGATCTCATTCTTTTTTATGGCTGCATAGGATTCCATGGTATATATATACCACATTTCCTTTATTCAGTCTATCATTCAATGTCTTTGCTGCTGTGAATAGTGCTACAATGAACATGCAAGTGCATGTAGGTTTATAATAGAATAAACTGCCTAATTCAGCTAATTCAGCAGTATTTTCTATCCTTCATTTCTTGATTAGATTTCACAGATTATGAGCTCAACAACAATACTTAAAATACTGCCAACTCCCTTATACCTTTAACTTTTTTTTTTTTTATTGGACTGGCAATATCCTCACTCTGGCTAAACTCAACTTTCTCTTTTCTCCATGTGAGAGTTGTTGGAGAAAGTTTCATCAGAACAAGCAAAGTTCATCATAAAATTCAAATGACCCCCAACACCTGAGGAATTCTGTTAATTTTCCCAAATCAACTCATACTTTGAAATTACCTTTTAAAAATGCTCTGTTGTCATGTAATCATTCCTCCTAAATTCACAAGCTCAACACATTATTATCTCTCCTAAGTTATAGATATTGTAGAAACAACCAGAAAAAGCCAACCCCCTCCATCTTCATTCCACAAATATACAAACACAAAAGCCTATCTGCAGCTGTAGCTACAACAGCCTCTGTTTCTTTGTTGTTGATTCTTTAAAGGAAGAGTTGGCAAACTGTATTATATGGGCCAAATATGGCTGTCTGCTTGTTTTGGCAAATAGAATTATACTGGAACACAATAATGTCCATTCTCTTACCTGTTGTTAATGTCTGCTTTCCCACTTAAATGGCAAAGTTGAGTAGTTTTAACAGAGACTGTGTGTTCCTAGAAGCCAAAAATATTTACACTAGTCCTTTACAGAAAATGTTTACCAAATCTACACTACAGCAACTAAAAATTTAATGCTAAATTTCAAAATACTTGCTTCGGACTTTATTATTTTCAATCTTCTCAAGAAATTTTTGAATTTATAATACATTTTTTTTATTTTATTTTATATTCAAACTTGTTCCTCAGGCTAGATTCTTTTTTGTTGCCTTTTAACTATTCTTAAATATCTTTAATATTAAAACATCAACAACCATCACCAATCAACTAAGCAACCAACCAGCCTTTGACCATATATCTTCCTGTTGCTATCATAATGATCTCGTCTCCTTTCAAGCCAAAATTGTTTAAATTTTCTTTATTCCTGACATCTATTTTACCACTTCTTATTAATCCTCTGCACAATATTAATCTGGCTCTAATTTCCATCTCCCCAAGAAAATAGTAGATGTTAAGCTCACCTGCATCCCCCATCACCTACACTCCATCATCTATACAATTGTTCCCAAAGTTTGCTATGCAACAGAATTGTTTGGAGAGTTTAATAAAACACTGATTCTTCAAAAATACTTTCAGAATTTCTGGTTCAGCAGGTCTAGGCTTTGATCTAAGATCTGCATTTCTAACAATTACATATTCTCACCATTTCAGATGCTGCTACTCTGGGGATCAAACATTGAGAAGCACTTATTGGCCTATTGAATATTTGTAAGTGCTCTTCTTTGACACTGTTGAAAATGTTCTCCTTAAAACATTTCATTATTTGGCTCCTTTGATAACACATACATCATTTTCTTTCTACCCTGTCTGTTCCTTTTCAACTTTGTTTTAAAATCTTACCCTTCTTTACTAGTCTTTACATTTTTAAAGTTTCTTCCACTAGCAGAGTTTATCTCTTTTACCTCCATACTGTCCTTGCAAGAGTCCCCAGTTATTCACAACCCTGCACTAGCTTCTGTTATCAACTACATGAATACATTCCAAATTTATATTCCCAATCCAGGACTCAACTCTGATACACAAAGTTACGCAATTTCCTATTGCCATATCTACATGCCATGCATGGTACCTCAAAATGTTTAAGAATGAATTCATGATCTTCACTTTCTAAAATGTGTTCTTTCTATTTTTCCTGAGCTTCAAAAACAAATGAACAAACAAACACAACTGTCACACCAGCTGTTCATGCAGGAATACTTTTATTCCTTATCTTTTCCAAATTCAAGCTATCGCCAAAGGCTATTGGTTTTACCTCTTAAATATTTTAGAGATTCCCACAATTTTATGATCTTGACTTTTAGTCAAAGTACACCTATATTTTTCCCTAGATAATTACAACAGAGTTCTACTTGATCTTGTTTTGCCCACTCTAACCCCTTTCAAACACTCCCTTTTATAGATTGTATTTGCTTGATTTTTTAAAAACAGAAATATGAACTCAACCTAACCTGTTTAATAACTTTTAGTTCTTCATAGATGAAGCACTAGAACTTAATTTTACATTATTAGAATAAAACCTGTAACATGGGCTACAGAGCCCTCCATGGTATGACTCCTGCATCCTCACTAATCATGCCATAATTTTCCTTGCTGTGGCCAAGCTCACCTTACTTTATTTTCTTAAATATATATGGTCTCCCAACCACAGAGCCCTTACAGATTTGATTCCTTCTTTCTAGGAAACCATCCACCATAAATGTGCTTAATCTGAACTGTGAAGTCTCATGTGGCACAAATGACTTCCCCAACATTGTGGTAAGAGGGTGACTTTAGCTTGGCTTCCACCTAACTAGCTTGTGCCACTAAAGACAACCCCAACCCCCATGCAGAGTCTTTGCTCAGGAAAGAGCAATGCTGCTGAACCACAAAATGTATTTTGTCTCAATCCATTTTCTGTAACTTTCCACTTACTCCCCTTCTGTAATTTTCTATTTCCTCCTCACTCTGCCCCATTTGCTTCCCCCATAGTTCCCTAGTTCTTTTTGTTCCCTCTTTTACTTTCCCACAGATCTTTTCTGTTTTCTCTCTGTTCTCCCTTTAAAAACCTAGTTACTTTTGTCTCAGTGGGAGTTGAGCTCAGTTTGTACTAGAATCTCTCCATCACTGCAGTACTCAAAATAAAACCTGTCTTTCTGTCTTTTACAAGTGTCCAGTGCTGTTTCACTCTGACATTAATTAGCACCTACTAAACCTTTATATTTTGGATAAAATAACATATTCTCAGGGAATCCTGCCTTAACTGCCCCGACACCACCAACAACCGCGTAAGTCCAGCTACTTTGAAATCTGCTTTGTTAAAAGGCACTTTCAAAAAAGTTAAATTCACAAACCTTATGCAGACATGAGATGAGCACATGTCAAAAAAGCAGAGACTTTTGTAGCTCGACTTTACTAAAATCAATTTGCAAATGGCTGGCTGCAAACTTGGCTTTTTCATCAGGGTCGGGAGCTGGAGCAGAGGCATGGGGAGAAAAGAATAATTTCTCCACTGCACAGAATTTATTTGCATATCTATAGACCAGAATTATAGTCTTTGCTATCAGTCATCTCCAATTTACGGAATCGTAAAATAGCTCAAAGGCAATGAAAGCCCAGAGCCCTCACAGAAACAGAATCAGACAACTAAGAATGTGCTTTAAACAATACATAGTTTCGAATTGGAGCACAAATTTTCCCTATAGCTTTTATATTCCAATTTTTAAAACTATTTTTTAGAATGAATATTTGATTATTGTGTGTGTTTAGTTCTTAGTCATCATTAATCTTTGCAAAAACAGGAAACAAATCTGCTTACCACTTCATCTCTAGCATCAGGTGAATGTAATGTCTTAAATATGGTAAGTGCTCAATAAATATCGTTTAAATTAATGAGAAAGAAAAAAGACCACAATTTTTTATCTGAGGAATGTGAGCTGCTTTAAATTGTCAGGCCCAGAAAGGCATTTAAAATGTAACAGCAGTCATGTCTCACTCCCCTTTGAGCTAAATAATTACCTCTTGAAGGCACTTGCTATCCAGGCTCTCTAGACAAACTAGTATCAAGAAGCCATAAAATGCCGTACACCATAGAGTTCAGCAATGTATAGTCAATCACTAGCCAATGTTATTTTTGTAAACCAGCGGATATTCCTGAAAAACAACTTTTGCTTTTGTAATCGCCCCTCCTGATTCTTTTTTTTTTTTTTTTACTTAAAAACTCTATCTTCTTCCTTTTTCTTTGGAACATTCTCCAAGGCAACCAGGCTGCAGTCCTCAACCTTGGCCCAAATAAACTCTTTATATTAATTTTGCTTCAGCTTCTTCCTTTTAGGTTGACATGAACAATAACCTTAATCACAGCTGATGTTAGTGAATATCACTGTATCACTTGTGGCTATATAATTTTATAGAATCTATACAAGCAGAAAATTAAAAGAAACAATATTATTATTATTTTATTTTATTTATTTATTTATTTATTTTTGAGACAGAGTCTCACTCTGTCGCCCAGGCTGGAGTACAGTGGTGCGATCTCGGCTCAATGCAATCTCCCCCTCCTGGGTTCAAGCCATTATCCTGTCTCAGCCTGCCGAGTAGCTGGGACTACAGGCGCCTGCCACCACGCCCGGCTAATTTTTTCTATTTTTTGGTAAAGATGGGGTTTCACCGTGTTAGCCAGGATGGTTTCGATCTCCTGACCTCGTCATCCGCCCACCTCGGCCTCCCAAAGTGCTGGGATTACAGGCGTGAGCCACCAGGCCTGGCCAAGAAACAATATTAAACATCTCAATTTATGTTACTACTGTGACAACTCTGAAAATCCAATTCAGAGTTACAATTTATCAAAAGAAATTAAACTTTTCATGCACTTGTCAGTGAAAGTATTAATAATAAAACACTTTATTCCAAAATGAATCCTAAAAACAAAGCTTCTATAAACTTTTAATAACCAAAAAAGTGACACATCAGAAATCTTAAAAAAAACTCTTTGAAGAAATAATTAAATCAAGCTAATTAAATTATGGAAAGTTATAAGAATGCAGGTACCTCATAAGATGTTAGTCTGATCATTGTTTTCTGACTTTCCTCAAAAATTCCCTAAAATGTATTCTTTTTCAACCACTGAATAGAGACATAGTGCAAGTTATTTTGTTTGCTACATAACAGTTATGTGTGTGTGTTTGTGTGTGTGTGTGTGCATGAGTGTGCAGACAAAGCAAGTGAGAAAAGGTTTAAACTTCAGATTGGGATCAATGTAGTGTGATTTATGAATATCATAGTTGGAATTGGTGGCAATTTATACTGGAACAATTCCTGCATAAAATACCACTTTTGAATTTATTGGTTTAGAACAATCACTATTAGTAATTTTCAATCATTTGTGGAATGGTTGTGTGGTTGTGTTCACGTGAGTCGAGTGTGGCTGGACCCAGCAGGGCTTGCTATGGCTTCTGGGTGGTGACCTTGCTGGAAACTGGCTGTTCCTGCTTATTCTTAGCTGATGACTCAGCTCTTCTCCTGTCTCTAACATCTCTCATCTGGCCTGTCTGGGCTTGCTCTCAAGGTGAAGGCAGAGGAGTAAAATAGAGGATGGAAGCATGCAAAGACTCTTGAGACCTAGGCTCAGAACCAGAACTGACACAGAGTAACTTCTACAACACAGAGTAACTTCCAGAGGGCTAAGCAAATCACAGGGACAGTTCAAATTCAAGAAACTGAGAAATAAACTCCCTTTTCATGGGAGAAAGAACAAAGTTATAGTCAAGTTATATTTTAAAGGGCATGAAAAAAGTAGGACCATTTTCAATCTACCAATATAATCAGGATGAGGAATCGAAACTTTTGTTATCATTACCTTAACTCATACAGAAAGTAGTGTCTTTGATTGGGCTTTGTGTTGCCGGTTCTGGAAACCCCAGCTCTTCATTCATAGACAGAAAACTGGCAGCACCAAATCACCCATGGTGGGAATATTTATACCAAAGAAACAATCAAATGCTTTTTGATTTTTTAGATAGCTATTTGTTGAATATTTATCAACATATAATTGGGTTCATTCATATACCAAACCCTAAAACATATAATATAGCGTATGGGAGATTGGAGATAAGAGACAGAAAAATGAAATTGGAGTTTGAAAAACTGGAGATTCATGTTAGAAACTTTAAAATACAAAAAAAAAAACTGGTAAAACTAAAGCCCCTAGATAGCGGTGATTTTTAAAAAAATGGAAATAATAGTGTCTAGTATTATTGGGTATTACAAGGTGAGCACATACAAGAATTGGCTAGTTTTTGAGAAAAAAAAAGGAAGAAAATAGATTTCAGAAATGGAAGGCCTTATGAGACTGAAATCATTGCCTGTCTTTTCCCATGAAAGGATATGAGATAGGACTGAAAAATTATCTGAGGGGCAAGATCCAGTAAAATTTTTTATTTGGATGAAGCGAAAAGCTTTGCAGTTCCCAGTTGTCCGAAGAGTCAGGTCCAAGCACTTTGTCAGAACATGCAACACTCTCGATGCTCTATTTCCTTCTTTCTTTTCTAGTATTATCTTTTCCCCTTACTTTAACTTCAGTTGTCCCAAACTGCTTTGTTTGAGTAATCTTTCTCATTTCCAAGACTTTTTAAAATAATTATTTTAGGCATCACAGTGACTACAGTTAATAACAATATATTGTGTACTTGAAAATTGCTAAGAGAGTAGATTTTAAGTTGTCTTACCAAAAATAAATAAATATGTTCGGCAATATATATGCTAATTAGCTGGATTTACTCATTCTACAATGTACAAATAGAACAAAGCACCATGTTGTACACCATCAATATATGCAATTTTATTTTTCAATTAAAAATCAAATAAATTGTATGTATTCAAGGTGGACAACGTGATGATTTAAAAAGTGTATGTGGTATACTGATTACCTCAGTCAAGTTAACACATCCATCACTACCCATAGTGACCGTTTTTTGTGTGTGTGCGGTGAGAACACTTAAAATCTGCTCTCTTGCCAAATTTCAAGTAAACTATTGGATCAATATTATTTATCTTTGTAATATCAATATGTCAATCCCTAAGCTACTAATATGTAGTCATCTCTGAGGACTAAACTGTTTTCTTCTCCAAAAATCATTTTCTGATCATTTTTGTGTGGTATAGATTGAGCCACAAATTATATTGGATTATAACATTGTATTATATTAAACAGTTATTTTAAATATTTTTGCCACTGGTTTCAGAGTTTCATAAAAGCTAGATCTCTGCCAAATTTATCGTTATACTTGGTGCAGATTATATATTAAATATTCAGGGACAATCTGCTAAATGAAATAATTAAAGATAATTTAAGATAATTAAAGATAATGGATATGAAAGTGTTTTCAAATATGTTGTTATTGGCTGGATGAGGTGGCTCTTGCCTGTAATCCCAGCACTTTGGGAGGCAGGCGCCTGTGGATCATTTGAGGTCAGGAGTTGGAGACCAGCCTGACCAACATGGTGAAACCCCGTCTCTACTAAAAATACAAAAAAATTCACCTGGCGCGGCAGCGCATGCCTATAATCCCAGCTATTTGGGAGGCTGAGGCTGGATAATCTCTTGAATTTCGGAGGCAGAGGTTGCAGTGAGCTGAGATTGCGCCACTGCACTCCAGCCTGGGTGAAAGAGCAAGAGTCCATCTCAGAAAAAAAAAAAAAAAAAAAAGGAAAGAAAAAAATGTTTTTATTATTTTACCATGTTTTTCTTAAGAAAATAAACTACCAGTACTGGTTTTATTATGCTATTATTTTATAATGAAAGGATAAAAGAGAAGTGCCAATAATTTTGTTTTTTATAAAAAATTTATTGCAAATTCAAGTTTCAGAAATATTCAAATCTAAAGAAGTTTGTTTTAGAATCAAGGTATTATTACTATCATGAGGTTTGTCCAAAAAAAAAAAAAGAAGAAAAGAAGAAGAAAAAATGAGCTTTATTCGATCAATATGGAATCTTGTTTTATGTTATATTTCCAAATAAAAGAAAAGCAATTTGTATTAGAAAATATAAGTACTTACAGCAACATTCATATGAAATATTTTGTGAGAACTCTGAGATAGAGGTATGCTATATTTGCAATAATGTATACATAGCCATATATATGAATATATGTGTGTATATATGTATTACATATATTCAATTGATGTTAAGTAAATATTCCTATTAAACACTTTTTTAACAATAAACAGTTTGAATATATCAAATTTTAAAATAATATGTAATGCTTTGCTTAAATTCTAATAAACAGCTTTGAGTTTTTAGAGTGTACATTAACAAGTTATAATACATATATTTTTCCAAATGAATACATTTTTTTCTACTTATTTGTCATAATTGAGGTGCTGTTTCAACCCATAAGAGAAAAGTACTGAAAAAATGCAAGTTCCCTGTGAGTCTTAGCAATTGTGTTTTTCCACTGAATCCTCCACAGCAGATAACAAATCCATTGCAAATCTTGTTCCATAAAGTTAAGCAATGTTTGCTATGATTTTCATATAAAATCTTTGCATTTCCCAGCTGCTACTTTTCCCTTTAATTGTATAGTTTGCTTCACAATGAGTATTTGCTTCATTTCCTACATACTGTCAATTCTAAAAGCAATGCTCTGGGGTATCAAGCATAGTGCAAATCCCATTAGTGTTCAGGGACTCATTTGCCACACAATGTTCAAGTTGAAGGAGAAAGAAAAGCATAATTGCATAAGATGGTGGTATTCACAAAGTATCTATATTTGATGTTCTCTTTCCAAATATCTCGGAGGAAATTACCATTCGACGTATTTTGAGAAAATTAAACAACTGCCAAGAAACACACAAAAGCGACGGAAAAGAGAAAAATGGCTAATGTGGAAACATTTTTTACAAAGGAATCAGAATACAAAGATTTTTATTTTTCAGAATTTTAGAATTTATTTTTGAGAATTATTTTTATTTTGGGGCATCAAATTTGTGTGTGTGTTTTAATTTTAGTAATTGAGCATACACATCGTTTTCTGGTATCTAGTGTATGTAATTCTAATATACAAATATACACCAAGACACACAAACATCACCCAGAAAAACAAGCATACAGACACACATAGATACATACACAGGCACAGAAAACACACACGGATACAAGCATATTCTATAAAACACAGTGAAATGATGCTCTGAAAAAATGTAAAAATGTGAATCATGCTCCTGAAAGTAACTGTGAATGTTACAAATAATATAAAATCCATTAAGTATATGCAAGAAGCACTGGAAAACTCTTATTCCGTTAATACAGTACTTATACATTCATGCATTTTATATTTTGCAGAATTGATTATAGTTTTATGATGCTAATTTCCTCCTTCTTCATTTCTTTAAGAATCTAAGACTAAAACATGAACAATCAGTATCTTCATCAGTAAGTGTAAAAGTAACACTGTTAAATTTATTATAGGCATAAATTTTGGACATGGTGTTTGTAAGACAGAGGTTTTTAAAACTTTGAGGAGACAGGTCACACTGGCCAGATTAAAATATTCGTGGCATTATGATTACATAACATTATGTAATGTATAGGATAATGTTTTTAATCCATAGTATATAGGATTATGTTTTTTAGGAAAATTGGCATACATGTAAGATAACCCGCCAGCACAGAGTGAAGAGGTTTATTCAGGGATAGGCTACTATGTCAGATTCCATATGATGCAATATCTACCATACTGCATGAAATAAAAGTTGTCTATTTTCATTGGAATAAAGCAATACATTATCAAATAAAGAATAATTCTTTATTAAATCTTATTTCAGGGTTTGAAAACACCTAATACAAATCATTATTAGGCCGGGTGCAGTGGTTCATGCCTGTAATCCCAGCACCTTGGGAGGCCGAGGTGGGCAGATCACGAGGTCAGGAGTTCAAGACCAACCTGGCCAACATGGTGAAATCCCATCTCTACTAAAAATACAAACATTAGCCGGGCATGGTGGTGTGCACCTGTAGTCCCAGCTACTCAGGAGGCTGAGGCAGAATTGCTTGAACCCAGGAGGCGGAGGTTGCACTGAGCCGAAATCACGCCACTGCACTCCAGCCTAGGTGACAGAGCGAGACTCCATCTCAAAAAAAAAAAAATCATTTAGCAAAGGATGAAACTTTGCGGAAATGAACATAATACAGGTATGCAGAAGAGGTAACGAAGTCCTTATGGAGAAGGTCATTGATGATAAAATAAAGCTTGTGTATGCATAGTGAAGATAAACTACAAATGAAAATAGAAAACTTAAAACAGCAGGGCAGCTACTGCAGATGAACAATGTTGCATGGAGCATAATTTTGTTCTGGTCTATTTTTTCAAATAGATTAATGAAACAAGACTATAATAAAACTACAAAGTTCGTAGTCTTTATTGATGCTTTTGAAGATATTTTCCCATATAGGCTTGAACAATCAAGTAAAGAGTAAACAAATACATATTATTGAGAGCAACATCTTAATGTTTAATGCATAAGGCATTAAAACATATACACATTATATATTCTTCAGAACTCATTTTAAGTTTTTATTGTAATAAACTGGAATAATTTTTTATTCTATCACATATGGATTTAAAAAAATCTCTATATGAAACATGGAATGAAGTATATTAATTTAAAATAGGCTGGTATGCTTTGGCTGTGTCCTCACCCAAATCTCATCTTGAATTGTAGTTCCCAAAACTGGGAAACAAAGTGACTGACAAGGATCGCCCTTTAATTAAAGTATAAATTCCATTAATACATTTGATAGCAATCAGTAAAACAGAAGAGCATTCTTTCTTGATATAATCACCCCACTTTTATGCAATTATATTGCGTTTATCTTGCTTGTTTATATGCTGTTAGAATAGTGCAGGATGGTTTTTGGCTGAATTCTAATAAGGGTAATTTTTTTGTTTTTAATTTGTCTTTTTTGTCTTTTTAAGACCTCTAAATCAGAATCTGGCCTACAATGTACTGATCTAGGAATAACAGTTTCATCGTAAGAGGAACTGTCAGAGTAGGTATTAAAGCATGTACCTATAGTTACCTCTGGTAGCACATAACCAAATTAAATGAGGCCTATTGTAATATTCAAGTCAGCACACTGTAATTTAAAACAGAAAGTAAACAATAAATGTCTATTATCCAGATGAAACTAGAGAAGAAGAATCATTACTCTTGGTTGATAGTTTTGACTATTTTTAATTTAATGAGATGTAAAATATGAACCTATCTTTAAGAATATGTGAGATAACAGATTTGCATAAGAAGTCTTGACAATTAAGAAAGTTACATGCACTCCTGATCGTTTTTTAATTCAAACTACATAAAGATATATTGTAATTAAAAATACAGGATAATATATTTTATATTATAGCTACTGCAATTAAAAAAAACAAAGTCAATCTAGAGGTTGCCTTTTCTTAATGAACTTGCACATTAAGTTCTAATTAATGGTATGCAATAGACAAGCTTTAAGTTAACATTTGAATGTTCTCTGTGCAGTAATACATCTAAAAGGAAGTTTAAGGGGTTTTTTTTGGTGGCTTTATTAACAGAAACCAAGTCCCATTCTTTCCCTTTATAGGATTAGAAATAGCAGTACCCATGGTTAGATTCCATTTCAAATTTCTATTCCAGCCATTCAATTTAATTTAAATTGAAAGCGATGATTAGGACAATAAAATTAGCAACTTCGTGGCTCAGTTGTCTTTTGCTATCTCCTCAGCCAAGAAAATTAGATTGACTTAATGTGAAGATAAAATCATCAACACAAAATTAAACCTGGAATGTCAATCCACTGCCTCATATATGGTCTATATTAGTGTTTTCATTTACCAGTTTCTTCTATTTCTAGTTTTTAATTTATTCAAATAATAATCTTCAAATACATTTTATTTTAAAGGTGAAATCTAATGCCGCATAATATTTAACTTTGCTAAAATTTTTCAGAATGCATTGAATTTTCAGTAATATCCCAATTGTTTGAAGTTTTTAAAATTCATAATAGTGCAGGTAATTTAGTTTATGTATAATTTTCGTACTATATGAAGCACAAAGTGATTTACACATAAGAGAGAAATTTAACAGAAGAACAGGGACCTAGGAGTTTCAGTTCCTCTGGTCCATTTTTGGAGCCATCCTTCTTTTCTATTCCACGCAGAATAGCATCGTTGCTCCTATAATTTGATGGGCTTTAAGAAAACATTGCCTGAAGATCTAGAGATATCTTCTTCCACTAGTTTTACCAACATTGAAAAATGGTATTTTGTTTTCCTTGGACCATCTTGTCTTATTTCTTCATTAGTTCCAAAGTTGGGAGGAGAAGAAAAAGATATTTATCATTGGAATCAAACACCAATATTTTATTTTACCTTGGTGGAATTTAGGAGTATTTATTCTGCAATTCTATGCTCAATATCAAGAGAATTCTTGGGAAAAAAATAGATGTTTATCTCATTTTTTACTTGAAAACTTAGAAGCTAAAATAAAATTATTTTGGTTAACTTATACTTCTTTCCAAAAAAGGAATAAGATCCTCAATAAAATGCCAAATGAACTTGGAAAAAAATCATCTTTTTCCTCATTTCCTGTCAAAAAAAATTAAACTTCAAGAGAAAAGGAATGCAATAGAACCGTTCACTCAATACTGAACAGGAATTAATAGTCCAATCTGGTTAATTACTTCTATTTTCAACTTTAAAGATACAATATGAACACAAATCTTTAAATAATTTAAGGAAAATATTAACTCAATTACTTATTTTGGAAAAATATATCTGTGAAATCTCTGAAAACTTGCATTTGTTTTCTATTACTATGTATCCATATTGCCACAAACTTAGTATCTTAAAGATTATGTTTATTATCTCACACTTTTCCTGGTTTTTGAGTCTGGTCAAGCTTTGGTCTCTCACAAGTTAGGGTCTTGGAAGGCTACAAAACAAATGTTATTTGAGAAATCTCAAATCAGTGTGGAGATTTCTGATGGTTGTGGTTATGTGGTCTTATTTCTGGGTTCTCTATTCTGTTCCATTGGTCTTTGTGCCTGTTTTTATACCAATAGCTTGTTTTTGTTTGTTTGTTTGGTTGGTTGGTTGGTTGGTTACTGTAGCCGTGTAGTATACTTGGAAGTCAGGTACTGTGATGCCTCCAGCTTTGAATGTTTGCTTGGGATCGTTTTAGCTATGTGAACTTTAGTTTTGGTTCTATATCAATTTGAGGATTTTTTTTCTAATTCTGTGCAAAACGACACTGATAGGAATTGCATAGAATTTTTAGATTGCTTTGGCCAGTATGACAATTTTTATTATATTGATTCTTCTGATCTATGAACATGAGATGTTTTTTTCCATTCATTATGTCATCTACAATTTCTTTCATCTGTGTTTTAAAGTTTTTACTTGCAGAAACCTTTTACCTCCTTGGTTAAATATAGCCATAGGTATTTTTGTAGCTATTGTAAATTAGATTTACTTTTTGATTTGGTTCTCAGATTGATCACTATTAATGCATAAAAAAGCTACTAATTTTTGTACATTGATTTTGTATATTAAAACTTTACTGGATAGTTCTCAAAGAACTAAAAATAGAACTACCATTCGATGCAGCCATTCTACTTTTGCGAATTTACTCAAAGGAAACAAAATCATATGTCAAAAAGATATCTGTACTCATATGTTTATCACAGCACTATTCACAATAGCAAATATATCTATCAATGGATGATTGAATAAAGATATACATACATATATATATTCATATATTTAATGGGATGATACTACTCAGCCATAAAAAAGAATAAAATCATGTATTTTACAGCAATGTAGATGGAACCAGAGGGCTGTTACGTTAAGTGACATGACTCAGAAAGTCAAATACCACATGTTCTCTCCTGTAAGTGGAAGCTAAATAATGTGTATGCATAGACATAGAATGTGGAATGATAGACATTGGAGGCTTGAAAGGGTGGGAAGCAGGTGAGGGTTGAGAAATTACTTAATGGGTAAAATGTACACTATTCAGCCCAGATTTCATCACTACTCAATATATCCATGTAACAACATGGCATTTGTACCCCTTAAATTTATATAAATAAAAAAAACTGAGGAGGAAAAGAAGTCTATAAAAATGTTGGCGTGGGCTGAGTTCTCAACTGGAAGCTTAACTGGGGAAGGATCTGTTTCCTCACTCACATCATTGCTGGTAGCACTCGGTTTCTTTTAGTCATAGGGCTGGGAGATTTTGTTCTTTGCTGGCTGTCAGATAGAGGCTAGTCTTAGCTACTAGAGGCAACCTGAGTTTGTTGCCATTTGAGGTTTTCCAGGACAGTGGCTTGCTTCCTCACAATCACCAACCATGATGATCTGTTCATCATTATACAAGTGTTACAATCTTATGTTACATCATCATAAATGCATAATGACATATGTTGTTTCAACTTTCAGATATATTATCTTTCAACACAAGTCACAGTTCCTGTCCATACTCAATCATGATGGATTATATCATGGTATAAATACCAAGGTGTGAATATCAGGAAGTTGGAATCACGGAAGACATAGTAGCTACAAAGCTGATTTTTCTTACTTTTACAAAAATTCTTCATTTGCTTTGAATCGTGATTTTATAATATGTAAATCCACTCAATGTGGAAAGTTTACTATTAAGTTTCTTAAGTTGATACAATAAATATAACCATTTAATATTTAACATCCTCCCCCATACAATTATCCCTATTTATCTATTTTTCTGTCTTCGATTACTTTACAACCCTCATGATCTACTTTTATCTATTTAGACCCCAAACAAGCTTTCATGTATTTAATTTTTTAAACTGTGGTACTGATGTCAAAGGCTATTCAGTTAAATTATCTCCTCCCAACCACTCCTTCCATCATTCTATTACTTCCCATTAACACCCTTATAAGATCGAAAGACTGATAATCTTTGCATGTTCAAACTGGGTTCAGGATTCTGTTTATGGGCAGAGGAATGAGACAGCCACCAAAAGGTGAAGGGGAAGAAATGAACCACACTCAAGGAGAAAGGGTGGTGTACTTTTCTGGAGCTATATTTTGCTCAAGGCTATATAGTATCCACCTAAATATTTCTTTCAAGTTGTGGAAAAAAATGTCTGCATGAATTGATTATGATTTATTCTTTCTTAACCCATTTACTATTTGCCCCGAGAATACTCTTGTCTCTAATCCTAATGTAAAATATTATACATTTCTATTGCATTAGGATTAAAGTTCTGTTTAGAAATAACTCCAAGAACAGTTTTTATGTTTTATTTTCACATTGATAATCAGTCAGATTTGCTTCAGCCTCAAAGAGCATGTTTATGTAAAATTAAATGAGCAATGGCAATGAGCTGCATTTTTTTTATAAATGGGAATGGGTTAAAGATGTCAGTAGGCAATATTTTATACATATGAAATAATATATGTGAAATATATGTAAGTAATAAAGGAACACTTTTTAAGAAACCTAGAGGTCATATAGGAATCTCCCATTTCAACTCCTGCTTTGAATCATTGATCAAGCCTGGCCTTTTTCAACTCATTGTTGATCTCAAGTAACATCACCTCTACCTTAATGAAAACTACTGTAGTCTCTTGTTTTAGTCTATTCAGGCTGCTATAATAAAATAACGTAAACTGGGTAGCATCTAAACAACAGAAATTTATTTCTCACAGTTCTAGAGGCTGAGAAGTTCAACTGAAGGTCCCAGCAGATTTGGTGGCTGGTGAGGGCCCCACTTCCTGACTCACAGATGCTGTCCTCTCATTGTAACCTTACATGGCAGAAAGGTGAGGATCTCTCTAGAGTCTCTTTTATGAGGCCTCCAAATGTCATTCTTGAGGACTCTGCTTGTATGACCTAATAACCTCTCAAAAGTTTCACCTCTCAATACCAACACCTTAGGTTAGGATTCCACCATATGAATTTGGAGTGGTGGGGTGCACAGGGGGACACAAGTATTCAGACCATACCATCTCCTATTAAAATTGCTGCAAGACTGTACGAGCGTTTCTTCCTCCAGTGTTGTTAACTTCTTCCTATGCCCACCTACATGACAGCCAGATAAAATTAAACCTCCTCAGCATGTTTTACATAGATGTCTCCACCTATCCTACCTCTCCAGACTCTCCTCTGAGGCCACCTCCATCTCCAGCTTTCACTTTCATGACCATACTGAGCTTCATGTTTTCTTTGAATCCTGAATTTTACCTAGGATTCTCTTACAGGTTTCCTGATATGGCAAGGCCCTATTTATAGACTTAGAATTAATCTCCACCAAGATGTTTTTCTTTACATGTCAACTTTATGTTCTGTTTGTGGTGCAAGATATATAATCATTCACTGATATTTCTTGTTTACTCACTTGTCTTCCTCTTGATAACGTGTTCCTATAAGGGAGGGGTTTTATAACCAATTTCTTGTCATGTCTGGTAACTTTTACTTAAATCCTGCCATTGTGTATGATATATTGTAGGTGCCTGATGATGTTAATTCTGTCAGAAAGCCTTCACTCTCTTGTCTGTTCAGCAAAGAGAATTGTGGCAAATGTCTTATTTCAATTAGAGATTGAATCAGTTCATGGCTGGGTTTATAGTATTCACAAAGATTTGCCTAACTCTTTATTTCACTGCTTCTAGTGTTCATGGAACCCAACTAAGATCTTGCATTGTTTATTAGTGCCTAACCACTTTATGAATCATAAATGCCAATTTTGTCTCTTCAGGATTGTGAAATTCACAAGACAACATTCAGATTTTAGAGGCTTTTTTCCCTAGCTGCTGGTCTAGATTTCTGCCCAGTTAAATAATAAAATAATAATAATAATAATAATAATAAAGAAAAAAAGACAAACACTCATACTCACTTTTCTGTGTCTCTTTTTATTGGGAACTTGACCATCCCATGGGCTCCCACGTCAAATACTAGGTGTCGTCTCTTCAGTCCAAGGCGCACAACTCTTTGTTGCTGTCTCTGCTTCTCAGCACTGCACCTTGGCTTGAGTTATCGATCCTCTCCTCTGTCCAAAGTTGGCAAATTCCATGAGAGAAAATGCATCTGTAGGGTGTTAGCGTGCTTTCTGTGTTTTATATTTATCAAGTCTTGCCTTGATTATTTGCCAGTTGTTTGCCTTGGTATTTGCCAATTCCTTCAAACAGCTTTATTTGTACTTACTCATCTTTCCCGTGGATCTTGATGGAAGCATTCATTTGCATCCAATTCTTAACAACTAAAATATGATTGTGTATGTATGTGTGTGTGTTTAATATGTAACATGAACAACATTAATCCAACATGTTTCACTCTCCGAGAATAATAATGGGCATTAATATCAAAGGAATCTATATACTGAAAAAAGAACATAATAATTTCAATGTGTTGAATTCAAAATTTGTCAGGTATATTTGAACTTAATTCTCTACCAATTTTCTTTGTTCACATATACTAAATATTTTCAGGGGCTAGCATTTGAAGAGAAAATTCAAAATTACTTACCAAGATAATTTTTATAAATTGAATATTTGTGTCTTTCTCCCCAAATTTAATGTTGATATCTATTCACGAAAGTGATGATATTTAAAGGTGGGGTCTTTGGGAGGTAATTAGATCATGAGGCTAAAGCCTTCATGAATGAGATTAGTGTCCATATAAGAAACCAGAGAGCTAGCTTGCTTTTTTTTGTCCACCATGTAAAGATACAAAAAGTTGGCTGTCTGCAGCCTGGAAGTTGACCCTCCACAGAACCTGACCAAACTGACGTCCTCATCACAGACTTTTGCCCATGAGAATTGTGAGAAATAAATGTTTGTTGCTCAAAGCACCTAGTTTATGATACTTTGTTCCAGCACTTGGAATTAATACAATAACATTTGCCAAAATTACATCTCATCATATCATATGTTCTCTAGAAGCATTAATCCCATCTCTTGTATGCACTGAATTATATACTGGCTATCTCTGTATTATTTAACTTCTTGAAAGTACTGTCATATGGAGAGTTGTTTATCTTGATTAGATATAACTGAGTATTTTTGAATATTATTATTCCTAAAAATAGATTCTCCCATGAAATTTGATTTAGTTTTATTTTTTCTAAATTGAATAAATTTTCAAAATACTATGATGTTAGGGCAATTTGGATACCTAGAATCGTTGTTGAACCTTTTGACATCTTCACTCTGGAAAAGGTAGAGAAGGCATGAATTGATAAATTTAGCAATGAGACTCAAGCATAAACACTTATATTATGGAAGCTGATGATATTTGTGTTCAGATGTCAGAACATAGGGATTCAGGAGTGTCCAGTAGTGAGAGAGAAATTCTCAGATACAATTCTTCCTTGGTATCTGAGAATTTGTATCTAACAAATTTGTAAGGATACAAATTTGTATCCTTGTATCTAACCATTTGATGTATCTGTAGTATGCCCCTTCATACACACTACCTCTGAGATAATAAACTATATTCTTTTCCCTTCTTGATTTTTTAACTGCAGTATGCTTTCAAAATAAAATTTCATTTATTTTCTAAGAGAACTAATTGACTTCTTATTTAAGCAAATGAAAGACTTTATTACCATTTAAACTATTTCTTTAGGAGCAGAGTTGGAATACTATGCTCTTGCTTAATATAACCAGGATTCATATGTAACAATAATGATTGATAAATATATGCTATAATTTGCCAAGTCAAAATATTAAAAAGAAAAGTTAATTCTTTAGATGTTTCATATCATTTACTTTTTGTTTTAGATAATATAATTATTTTCTTCTTATGGTATATTTAAGCTATTTGTTTTCACTAAATTAATAATTTTTAATTTATATCTTTAAAGGTTATATAAACTATAAGGACTATAAATGCATAAGAATATATGATTTTAAAAAGACTTTTCAAAATTTGGGTACAGATTTTAAAAATTAACTAGTAAGTGCCAATGCAGCACCTAAGTCAGCATCTGTAATTCTGACAGGCTGACATTAAAAAGAAATTAATCTTTTTCTGAAAGTCACTATTAATTTATAAAACATAAAGAAGCTAATTTACATGAATTGCTTTAAAATGTATTTATTTTTCTGATTTTACTTAGACTAATATATGAAATATATTTAATTTTTCATATAATTTAAAGACCTAAAAACATATTTTGTTTATTAGGTTGTCTTTACTATAATGATTTTAAGTATGAGTCATCTGAAATGCACAGAAAAACATGTAATTTTTCAGCCCATATTTACTAAACTATAAAATTAAATAGGAAGACATTTGTCTCATAAATGAGAGTATTGGTTAGGGGTGGCAGTGTGTGTTATAAATTTATAATCAAAATCTCAGAGTTTTAGACTGCTGATTTTTACCCATTGGTGAGCACTGAAATTTGATGGAGCTCATCCAAAATTATTAAATAATAAAATAAAGCATAGTATAAAAGAGAGTAAAATAAAATAGAATACATCAAATATAGTAGAAATAAGTATTATTTTGGAATTTTTTTGTTTGAATTATATGTATATGTGTATTCATACATACATTCATATACATGTGTATAGTTTACATCACAATATTAATAATATAGTTTACTGTTTGTTAGGTCAAAACATTTGAAAAACAAAGTGACAGAATTTTTATTATTTCAAAAAATGCAAGTTTATCTTTCTTTGCACTCTAATTTAATTGCACTTTCTATTTTAAAATGCTAATACTTTATTATTTTTAACACCTTGCACTATGAATACACTTATATAGAATTAGTTTTGATGACTTATCCTGAACAAATTTTAAGTATACATGAATAATTTTTAGGTCATGGATTTGGTATGACATTTATTACATTGTACCTTCCTATAGGCAGATTATATCTCTACATTCATCATATGTGTTTGCCATTTGATTGTCGCATGCGATGAAACTGGAACAGACTTCATGCCATCCCTTCTGAGAGGGTGCTTTAAATGAGCTTGGAGGATTTGGGTCAACTTCTTAGAGTCTAGGAAAGCCTAGTGGAGCCACACACAACCAGAACCTAGCAGAGTCACCAGCAACAGCTGAATGAGAAACGAATTTTCATTTCTGTAAGCTAACACATGTGTGTGTTGTTTCTGTATTGAAACCTGACTAAACAGAAATTTCTACCAGGAATACAATTTGCCTGTAATATCAATGCTGGTAGTGAGTGTTGAATGCTGGTAGAATGCTGGTAGTGAGTGTTGACTGATTCATTTTTTAATTGATGCATAATATTTGTACATATTTATGGGATACATGTGATAATTTATAGCATATATACAATGTGTGATGGTCAAATTAGGGTCATAGGACTATCCACCACCTCAAGCATTTATCATTTCTTTGTGTTGGGGACATTCCAAATCTTCTCTTTTAGCTATTTTAAAGTATTATAAATGATTGTTAACTAGAGACCCTGCTGAGCTATTAAACACTAGAACTTATTCCTTTTATTTAAGTGTATTTTTGAACCTACTAACGAACCTCTCTTTACTTTATGTGATGAAGTGCTATAAAAATATGAGCTCAAGGCCGGGCGCGGTGGCTCACGCCTGTAATCCCAGCACTTTGGGAGGCCGAGGCGGGCGGATCACGAGGTCAGGAGATCGAGACCATCCCGGCTAAAAACGGTGAAACCCCGTCTCTACTAAAAATACAAAAAATTAGCCGGGCGTAGTGGCGGGCACCTGTAGTCCCAGCTACTTGGGAGGCTGAGGCAGGAGAATGGCGTGAACCCGGGAGGCGGAGCTTGCAGTGAGCCGAGATCCCGCCACTGCACTCCAGCCTGGGCGACAGAGCGAGACTCCGTCTCAAAAAAAAAAAAAAAAAAAATGAGCTCAAATAGTAATTGGCCTAATTGCAGGGAAGAATTAAAAGAAAAGTAGACATAAGTACCACAAATTCTGGATATTTTGTGATTAGAAAAATAATTGATTCTCATACATTATTTGTAAATACTTGTATTTATTTTTTATTTTTTGATTTCTAACTTTTATTTTAAGTTCAGGGATACATGTGCAGGATGTGCAGGTTTGTTGCATAGGTAAACACATAAGTAAACGCATACCATGGTGGCTTGTTGCACAGATCATCATATCACCTAGGAATTCAGCCCAGCATCCTTTGGCTATTCTTCCACATGCTGTCCCTCTCCCCTTCCTCCCTGCCATGGACAGACCCTAATGTGTGCTGTTCCCCCGCAAGGTGTCCATGTGTTTTCACTGTCCAGCTCCCACTTATAAGTGAGAACATGTGATGTTTAGTTTTCTGTTTCTATGTTAGTTTGCTGATGATAATAGCTTCCAGCTCCATTCATGTCCCTGCAAAAGACAAGATTTTTTTCCTTTTTATGGCTGCATAGTATTCCATTGTAACTGCCCCATGGTTCATTTTGCCTTCTGCTTAGGCAGAGCCGATCTCTCAAGTCAGGTGAATTGCAATAGAGAAGGAGTAATTCACACAGAGCTAGCTATACCAGAGACCAGAGTTGTGTTATTACTCAAATGAGTCTCCCTAAGCATTCAAGGAACAGAATTTTTAAAGACAACTTAGTGGGTAGGGGAAGCCCATGAGCCAGGTGTGTTCATTGGTCAGGTCAGAGATGAAATCATTGGGAGTTGAAGCTGTCTTCTTGCAATAGGTCAATTCCTGGGTGGGGGTCTCAAGATCAGATGAGCCAGTTTATCCATGTGGGTGGTGCCAACTGATCTGTCAAGTGCAGAGTTTGCAAAATATCTCAAACGTTGATCTCAGGATCAGTTAAGGGAGGATCAGAATCTTGTAGTCTCCAGCTGCATGACTCCTAAACCATAATTTCTAATCTCATGGATAATGTTGGTCCTACAAAGGCAATCTAGTCCCCAGGCAAGAAGGAGGTCTGCTTTGGGAAAGAGCTGTTATTATCTTTGTTTTAAACTATAAACTGTAAACTGAGTTTCTTCCAAAGGTAGTTCAGCCTACACCCAGGAATGAACAAAGACAGCTTGCAGGTTAGAAGCAAGATGGAGTTGGTTAAGTTAGATCTCTTTTACTGTCTCAGTTTTAATTTTGCAAAGGTGGTTTCACTATGCTGTATATGGACCATATTTTGTTTATCCAGTCTATTATTGATGGGGCATTTCGGTTGATTCCTTGTCTTTGCTGTTGTGAATAGTGCTGCAATGAACCATACGTGTGCATGTATCTTTATAATAGAATAATTTGTATTCCTTGAGGTATATATCCAATAATGGGGTTGCTTGGTCAAATGGTATTTCTGCCTCCAGGTCTTTGAGGAATTGCCACACTGTCTTCCTTAATGATTGAACTAATTTACACTCTCCACAACAGTGTAAACATCTTCCTTTTTCTCCACAACCTGGCCAGCAACTGTTGCTTTTTTGGCTTTTTAGTACAAGCCATTCTGACTGGTATGAGATGGTGTCTCATTGTGGTTTTTGATTTGCATTTCTCTAATAATGAGAGATGTTGAGCTTTTTTTATGTTAGCCACGTGTTTGTCTTTTTTTTTGAGAAGAGTCTTTTCATGTCCTTTGCCCACTTTTTAATGAGGCTATTTATTTGGGTCTTGTAAATTTGTTTAAATTCCTTGTAGATGCTGGATATTAGACCTTTGTCAGATGGATAGATTGCAAAAAATTTCTCTCATAGTGTAGGCTGTCTGTTTATGCTGATGATGGTTTCTTTGGCTGTGCAGAAGTTTCTTAGTTTAATTAGATTTCATTTGTCAATTTTTGCTTTTGTTGCAATTGCTTGTGTGTTTTCTTCATGAAATCTTTGCCTGTGCCTATGTCCTGAATGGTATTGCCTAGATTTTCCTCTGTGGTTTTTATAGTTTTGAGTTTTACAGTTAAGTCTTTAATTCATATTGAGTTGATTTTTGTATGTGGTGTAAGGGTGGGGTCCAGTTTCAATTGTCTGCATATTTGCTAGCCAGTTGTCCCAGCACTGTTTATTAAATAGAAAATTATTTCCCCCTTTCCCCTTGCTTGTTTTTGTCAGGTTTGTCAAAGATCAGATTGTTGTACATGTGTGGTCTTATTTCTGGGCTATTTATTCTGTTCCATTGGTCTATGTGTCTGTTTTTATACCAGTACCATGCTGTTTTGGTCACTGTAGCCTTGTAGTATAGTTTGAAATCAGGCAGTGCGATGCCTCCAGCTTTGTTCTTTTTGCTTAGAATTGTCTTGGCTAATTGGGTTCTTCTCTGGTTCCATATGAATTTTAAAATAGTTTTTTTTCTAATTCTGTGAAGAATGTCAATGATAGTTTAATGAAAATAGTTTTGAATCTATAAATAGCTTTGGGCAGTATGGCCATTTTCACAATATTGATTTTTCCTATCTATGGCCATGGAATGTTTTTCTATTTGTTGGTGTCATCTCTCATTTCTTTGATCAGTGGTTTGTAGTTCTCCTTGAAGAGGTCCTTCACTTCCCTGTTAGTCATACCTATGAAGACTAATTAAAATTATTAGTAATTAAGTGCTACTATTTACAAATGCCTATTAAGATCTAGAATGAAACTTAGACTCAGGAAAAACAAATTCAAAAGGCTGGCTAGTATCCCCTTTTCTAAGATACAAAATTACCTTAAAGTGGTCCCCGGTAAATATTTCAGTTATACAAAATGAAACAGAGAAGTTAGAGCATTGCCATACTTCCACTGAAACCTGATAGGCTCCATACTTTTCACCAAGTTGAAAGAAAAACAGAAAAAGTGTGCGACAAGATTCTCAAAAAGAATCATAGATATAATTAACAATGGAAGTGAAGGACCTCTTCAAGGAGAACTACAAAAATAATGTGCAAATAGGTATGACGACTGGCACATGGGGCTGCATGGAATAAAAAATTATAATAAATAATAATAAATTTCCAAAAATTTATTAATTTTTAAAAAAGTTAACATTTTGGCATTATTGTATATTTCACACTGCCATCAGATTAAGAATATCTGTGACCATTTCAGAAAAACATGTCACTTTATTTTCATTCATTTCTACCTCCAAAAAGTTCACCTAAAAAGTTTGCTTAGCTTCCAGAAATAACATAGTCTCTCAAATTCAGATGTTATCAAGGAGATGAATGGAAGAACGATGGTCTCCCAGAGGCAGAAACAAGAGTCATAGAGAAAAATGAACAGAGTTATGTGCTCCCAGGGAGTGCAATGGGCTTAACAGGAAAACATTCTCTATCCACGAATAGGAGAAACTTACTATATTATCCCAGAGGGATTTCAGAATTGTTATGGACCAGTAAACAAGGTGTGCTTCTTCTCTTTTCTGAATGTGCTCATTTTGGCTATTTTGTATTATTGAATGTTGTGTTTGAGGAGAGTTATGTAACTTGTATTATTACTTGTTAGCCAGCTAGAGCAGGAAGAGCTGCATGTGGAACTGAGGCATATTAAAAATCTCTGGTCTTTGAGCCTCATATCATGATTGAATGAGACATTTTTTGGGTTAATTCCTGCAGAGAAGAAGATTGTATTTTCATATGGGAGATAAATGGATATTTAGAACTAATAGAGCGGAGTGGTATATTGTACAATTTTCTCCAATTGTCTTCATCTTCTCCTGTAAGAGTATTTTACATACCACCTTTGGCATACCCCTTGTTGACCTTCACTATGTGTCTGTCTTTTTCTAGGGGGTTATGTGTATTTCATATCTAAACTTTTCAATGCACCTCTGTGCATTTGTTCACCCTTTTTTTCTTGCCTTCTGCAATCAGAACACCGTGTACTAGCTGGGAGCTGCTTCTTCAGCCTGAAATTTAGGATGTAAAACATAATGAGCAGAGCCAAATAGAGCCACTGCCAATTTGCAGAATCATGAGTGGGAGATGAGTGTCTGTGATTGTATCCACACAGACTATCTGTAATTGCAAAAAAAAAAAAAAAAAAACCAGAAACAAAAACAAAACACTTTCTTATACATTACCCCATTTGTGATTTTTTGGGGGGTTCTCAGATTACATTGTATCTTTTGGTTTGTCTGTTTATTTTAGGCATAGTTCTTACTTAGATTTATAATTGTTTTATTCATTTGTGTATTTCTTATTTTAAATTTATCACCCATTAGCTTCAATGCTCAATGAAGACATAGTCTGCTCTCCTTCTCACTGTGATCCTAAAATCTACACATTTACTGGTACATAGCAGATATGCAAAAATATTTGTTAATGTAATACATAATTGAAAAAATCTTCCCTTTCATGGTAATATCTCTATATATGAATACATATGCATATGCACAACCCAGGTAGAAGTTAGCAGTGTATTAGAACAACTCTTCAATGTGAGTCTTGCATTTCATTTAAATTTGAATGTGTTTAAACTTTATTTCCACATTTAGAGTTTAAGATCTTTAATGGTAGTGGCTATTCCTCACAGTGCTAATGTTATTAGCATTCCTGCACCCACATAACTTTTGAACACTTTTTAAAACATTACTTATTGCTTTTACTCTGAACATAAAGCTGGGGAATCTCTCTGATACTGTATACCTGCAACTGTTTCTACAGGACTCATTTTCTTTCTAGTTGCCATTCCTAGAATTTCCACGGTATGAAAGTGGTGCATCTCACTGAAGTGATTACCAAGTGACATGAAGACATATTTCATGTAGTCCCTGAAGTACTTTCTTCATTGCTTTAGTTGTTCCTTTGTTCTTTATCACTCAATGCCATTCTGACTCTTTACAGCTTCCAATCATTCCATTATGAAATTTGGAATACTTCTTTCACTAGGATTTTAGTCACTGTAGAGAAACAAGCTGGTAGAATAATGACTGGTTTTGCTCTTATATGACATCAAGCAATCATTTATGAACCACATCATGTCCATATAGCATATCAAATGTTTTTTTCTTTTATATATCTCAGCTAGGATTGGAAATACACATTTTTCTTTTTCTGATAGGATTCAGTTAAATATTCTAAATTTTCTCAAGATAAACTGGAGGTATATATATATGCACACACACGTATATATATATATGTATACACACATACATATGTATATATGTATATGTGAATGTGTGTATATATGCGCATATATATGTATATACATATATGTATATGTGAATGTGTGTGCGTGTGTGTGTGTGTGTGTATATATATATATATCTATATATCTGAATAATAAAATAAACCACCATGCCTAATTTATATGTCTTTAGAGTTTCTGGCTTTGTACGCATCAATTTTTGTGGTCTTCAAAACAACTCTATAAGATAAATACAAGTAATCACATTTTAGATATAAGAACCCAAAGATTACAGATTATAACCCAGGTTTTCCAAAATCATGGGTTTATATGTATTATAGCTATGACCCAAACTAGGAAATTATATATGAAATCCAGTGATCATTTCATAAGTTCACTTTGCAGCTCTCTTTGCATTATTCACTATGGATAAATATGCATGGGAATCATTACAGTAATCTTTTCTTAATAGTGGGGAAAGAAACCATTTTAATTAAGTAGAAAGAATTTGATGATTTTCTCTAGTAATTTACCTGGGATAGACTGTACTTTCGTGAAAAAAATAAACTACTAGATGTTCCTTGATAAGGAAAGTTTGCTCATCCCATCCTAGTGGATCACATGTTTTGCTTCTATCAATGCAATATGTACAATAGTAAAATATCCCACTTATGGGAAGAAGCCTTACGGAGGCACTTTGTGCATCAGTCCTCTTACTCCCACCTCTGTGATCATGGAAGCCCGTGGCGCTTGCAGCCCCATCAGCCTTGTTTCTTCAGTAATTTCAGCAAGGTGAGTCCTCAGCTGACACGGTATGGGTATGCCTCATGTATACTGTGTAAACTTTAATGTTTTAAGTTACTAAATTTAGAAATTGCTTTATTGTCATACCATAACTCAGCCAATCATGATGAACTGAGATCATACCTTAAAAAGTTAATAACAATGCATGTAAAACTTTTGATCATCAGAAAGATTCCCAAATCTCAAATAAATGCATCACTATAAAACTGAGTCTGATAAATTTAGATAGAGCCCGTGTTTCCAGTTCCTTCTTAAGCTGAATATTATATGGCACAGTGATTTGCACATAAAATATTAAAATTTAATATTCTTTTTTGTTTAGATTAAATATGATAAAGTATGCCATTGCAATACATTTTGTGTATCATAATTTAGGAAATGGGTATAGCTTCTAAGAATAATAGAAATAAGCAAATAATACAATGAGTAACAAAATGACAAAATTACACCCCAAAGACTTCCTCACATGCTGTATGCATGTGAATGTATTCATGTGAATGTTTCCTAATTTGTCATTTGTAAATTTAGAAAAAGTATATCTCTAAACTTTGATCAAATAGGAAAACTTTTAGAAAACATATTCAATGAATTGTACTTTGCTAAAGCACTCATGTTCAAACCTATTTGAATTAAATTTATGCAATGATGTAAAATGTTACAAGTTAGACTTTCAATATGTCTATTTACATAGAGGTGTTATGAACTTTAGATGCATATATTAGTTTTCAAGATTTCAATAACTATTAATAATTTAGGTTTTTAATTAAAAATATATTAGTGCCATTCAAAAAAATCAAAAAGATTTTTTTAAATCACAAACGTGCTCTATAAAATATGCATAACTTCTGTTCATTAAAAACATCAACATGTCTTCTCCATGAAAAAGGGTAATCAATCATTTTGCCAGGCTTTATCTTTGTAAATTTTCCCAAATGATTTCAGTCAATTGAAGAATAATGAGTTACGTATTTACAGGCAATTTAAATCAACAAAATCTGTGTTGCTAAATTGCCCTCCATGAAAATAGTTGCAACACAAGACAATAGAAGTTGTATCACCTTTGGTACCTCTATTCATTAACCTCTGGTTGTTAGAGACAAATCAACATGATAGATGTGGTCTTTTTGACAGGGGGCTAGAGAATTCTGAAGACACAAACATCACTATTAAATCATGCTTCAATACGAGCATAGAAGAAGTAAATATTAATGGGCCTTTTGTGGCTAAGAAATTAACTTACTCTTAGACATTCCCTTTGTAGGAAAAAGGGAGATATATAGAAATTTCAAAAATCAACACTATAGGCAATTGATTCTGAATTACAATTAAATGACATTACTATCTTGCATGCCAGTGTTAATTCCAGAGAGATTTGGAGCCACTGTACTAGTTAGGTGTGAAATGAGAAGTGTTTGCTTAATTTCTATCTGGGCCTGTGTTTCTCCCAGAAAGCAATGTGGATAAGTGTTTTGGATTTTGAGCTTGCTCTTTGGCTCCTTTGAGACTGCCTCATATAAATCTTTGTGTCAATTCCTTCAGTATTAAATGCAGAATTCTGCTGGGTTTTTTTTTTCATTTTCATAATAAATCCCTTTGAAAAACTAATGAAAGTTTTTCTTCTTTCCCCAGACAAGTCAAAATATGCACACACCTCTGAGCGGGTAGTCTCAGTGGGTTCGCCAGCAATCCACGAAGTTCATCCATGTATCATTACAGAAATCCTGGAGCTAGTGGCTACAACTGGTTTTTAAACCTGTGCTAATAGCTGGTCTAAAGTTTTATCCCTAGACCCAGGGATGCGTGGGATGTCCCTGAATTTTCATGCTTCTAGAACTGATGTGCAGAATAGAGTGAGATGAATGAAAAATGGAATGACCACCATGAGTTTTCCTCTGGTTTTTAGAATTGTTCCCTGGAGTACTCCTGATCAAGAAGTTGCCGCTGCACTGGTAGTATGGTCTTGGCTCATGTGCCTACAGGGGCTCCCTGATGAGCGTGGCATGTAAAGAACGTTAGTAGATGGAGAGGTGGCTTCCCTGAGCTGAAGTGGTCTGTACCTGCTTCAGATTCATCTCTTTGGGGAAAATAAGAGGACCAGTAGGGTGGAGGGCTTCAGAGGCTGTGCTTGACAAAGGTGGGACCTCCCAACACAACTATTTCCTCTGGGTTGTTTCGCCTTCTTTATATTCTTTAAGCTAACCAAGCTAGTGTAAGGAACATATGTCCTTGGAGAATCTTTTGGTCAATTCCAAATGTATGTCCAACTGGTATTGATTTCATGGCTCTGTAGTTACAAGAATGTATGCTCTCTAATATGTCTCTTTTGAAGTTTTCCAGTTATACTTTGGAACTTCTTTTTTATTTGTTCAAATACATGCTAATACATGCTAATAACATACTTTCTTATATTTCTAAAATAAATAAGATTACCCTGAAGTATTGTATTGGGGAAGTATCTATTATTTCCTAGGCTCACATTCCATTTTAATGAAATCTGTTTCTGCCAGAAGCACATTGCAATACTGGAAAGTGTGAAGGTTGGTTGAAGGCAGAATAAATCTGATTTTCTTTTTTCTAGAATTTGCCTTCCAATATAAAGGGGGTATTTTCTGGAAGTGAGAGATGGAGAGAACTAGTCTTCATAAGTAGAAAGGCCAGAGTAGCCGTTATAGATATGTGGCCGGCTATAGTTAGAAAGAAGTGTGAACCATGAATAACAGACAGAGGCTGAGTGAAAAGCAGATAATTAAGTGGGAGTATGGGAAGAAATTGTGATTTCAGTAGATAAATGTCACAAATCTTGTAACTCTGAGAGGTGCAGAGTAAAGGTGAGAGCAAGAATGAGCGCCAGCTATTTCCCAGAAGTCTCCTTCCCTCCATACAGCTTCCTAGTTTCCTCTTACGGATATTCTGATTATAAAGCATCTTTTCTGAGTCTATCTCTATTTCATGCATTTGAAAACAAATCATAGAAGAAAAAGAGCTCTTTTATTACAATCTTTTGTTTTGTGTTGACTTTCTTTAAAATCCATACTGAGAAGCCCATGTGAATTAACATGGTAGCTAAGGGAAATAATTTTAAGAAGACAAAAATGTTTTTTCAGAAGAATAAATGCCACCACGATCAACACTATGGTATAAGAAGAGCCATAAATCTTTATTTTTGAGTTAATAAAGAGACTTATCATCTGGTTTTTAATTTCTTTGCTTCCTGTTGAATTATTGGTTTTATTTAATAAGCATACATTATAGAATGTTTTACTTGATGGTACTTATTTTGTTTTATGTTACATTGTAATTATTTGTTGTTTGCCTTTCTAAATTGACAGTATGTTTCTCATGAATAAGATAATCTCATTTATTTTGGTGTGTATAGAACTACCTCAGGGTGTTCAAATAGAAGGTGTTTATTCCATGTTTATTGAAGCACTAAGTTAGTCATCCTATTTATAAATACACAAATTCATTTTATATATTATCTTGTTTCAAGGAGTTTCATTTCAGTAACTTTTTATATGAAAGAAAAAATAAGTAGATTATTATCCGTAAGATATGAGTGTGAAGAGATGAAATGAGGAAGAAAATACATTACTGGGAAATTGTTTTTGTTGGCAACCAACATGAAACTTTGGTACTTATACTTACATTTTATTCTCCACAGGAGATGGTATATTTCTTGTCTTCCTCCACATAGTTCAGCAAACAATGAAATTTGTGTCAATCACATCTTAGTTGGAGGCATTTTTGAAGTAGTGTATGAGCAATATTCTGATAAATCAAGAATACCTCCAGGTTAACTATTTTATGTGTATACCCTAAAAGAAATGTGGAAAACACAACCTTTTTTAAAAGTCATGATTAATGTTAACAGGTTAACAAGAAGGCTGCATAGTGTCAATCTTTTACTACTGCAAAAATTGAAGGAAATTGAATAAGATATTTTCAAGTGTTGACCTGTAAAAAATACTTTCAGAAGAGGAGATTGTGTTGATTCTTACATGTCAACAATGTATTTTGTAACTATTTAATAACACAAAAATTGCGTTCATAAAAAAATGAGTTGTAATAGAAATATAAGTAATTATCAATGTCATTCTTCATTGTTTTGTCGGTTTATACGATATTCATTCTATTCGATTCTATTCTTTCTATTGTATTCTATTCTATTTCACCATTATTATATATCCTGTAGCTTAATAAACTTATCTAGTGCTGTGCCTCAAAAGCCAAGAAGGTTAGAACAACAACAACAACACAAACTTACAAAAACCAGGTAAGTATATTATTGAAATTCAGGACCAATTTATAATATATCAAAATCCAATATAATTATTTTACAATCGGAATACAAAGTGACTATGTATACAAGAATTGTGTGACACTTATTTAATCTACAGATATTTGACTCTTCAGTTACTCTCACAGAATGCGCTTCTAAATAACATGAAGGCCAGACCAGTGGCTTTATATTCTTAATACTCAATCTGTTCTCGTTTCTCATGTTGTTTTTTGCCCCAGGAGGAAAACCAATGCTTAATAAAAGCATGTTTAGCTCTGTGTAACCAGCTTTGGGAGAAGAAAAAGCAATTATGTGTAGTATTTGCCAATATCCACAGTGTAAATATTCTCACCATTATGGGTCAAATTGTATTTCCTTTCAAAGATATGTTGGAGCCCATTCCCCCAGTACCTCAGAATGTGAGCTTATTTGTAGATAGTGTGTTTGGGGCAATCATCAAGTTAAAATGAGGTCATTTGAGTAGGCCATAATTCAATATGAATGCTGTCCTTATTTAAAAAAAAGAAAATTTTGACACAGAAACAGATACATACACAGAGAAACACCATGTAATGTTTGGAATTATGGTGCCATAAGACAAGGAATTACAGGAAGGTAGGAATGAGGAAGAGAACTAATCCTTCCTAGAAGCTTCAGATGGAGGGTTGCTCTGCTAGCATCGTGATCTCAGCCTCCAGAACTGTGAGATCATCAATTTCTGTTGTTTACATCACTCGATTTGTGTTACTTGTGACACCAGCCTTAGGAAATAAGTATACTCACTATTGTTGATTTCAAGCTACCACTATGACGTCAACTGGCTTGCAAAATTTCTGAAAATTTAAATATTGTCTCTCACAAGCCATTACGAGTCAGCTCTAGCACAGTTTCAGACCATTACTATTTGTTAATCGTAATTTTGTCTTTGTTTTAGCCAATTTCATGGTTATTGTTTTAAGGTTTTCTTTAAAAAAGTGATGTCATGGAAAGAAATTTTAAAAAGCACTGGGCGAGAAAGTAAGAGAAGTCTTTCTTAAGAATGTGAGGTGAGTAGAAATTAAATGATTTGCTGTGTTGGTTAGACAGAGATGTCAAAAGAGGAAACACAGGAAAAGAATTGCTATGTAGTCGTCAGCTATCACATAAACTAAAGAAAACAGCAATCTAAAATAAATTGAAACCTTTTATTGGTACATTATAATTAAACATATTTATGGGGTACAATCGTTCAACAAACCATGCCTCTATTTATTGTTTTGCTTTGATCATATCCCCATCTTTCAATTTTTCAAGCTTATCTATTTAAGTTTGTATTATTTTTACTTTTATCTTTCTTTTTAACTATCCTTTTATACATTTCATTTATGCGTATGTGTAAATAAACACGTCATATTTGAATATGTAACATTTATAAATGCTATTATACCTGCTATTTTTAATCATCAACATCTATGTTTTTGATCATCAAAATCCCCATTTCTATTATCAATATTAACAACATCGTGTATATGTGTGATATCATTATATATATATTTATAAATATATATATACTCTTCCCAACAGTGTTAAAATGAAATACTAAAATTTATTCACAAAGTGCTATAATTACATAACAGATAAAGAGAAGAGATACTATGAGGATAAGTAAATTTTCCAAGACCAAATATATAACAAGTGTTGGACTCTAGCACGTGCATTCTAGATAAGCACAGTATGTAGCATCCCATTTTCACTATAACCTGGTAGATTTATTTCTTTGAATCTGATTCCCAGGCATGAGATTACTCAGTTTAACATTTGGTGTATTTATAACTTAATTAAATAGTGATAGATGGCTTTCCAAAATTATTTATCATATTTCTTCCTCCTTTTTCCTTATCTCTGCAAGAGCTTAGCATTTTTTTCATTTTTACCATTTTGATAAGTGATAAAATATATTTTATTTTTTCATGAATTTGCATTTTTCAGATTTAGGAACACGAGTAATTTACCGTATGATTAGATATTTGGTTTATTTTATTCTAAATTTCCTACACAATTATTCACTCATTTTTCATTTAGCTCGAATATCTTATTAGAATCCATCTTCATATACCTAATATATTTTTCAATTTATCATATTCTTTTCATTTACTTTAGAAAATTCTAGATGTACATTAAATATGCAATCAAAAGTTTATCTCAATTTTAATGCACCAAATTTGTTTATCAAACTCATCACATCCATAATTCGGAATAAGTAAAGAAATATTTCTAATAATTTTGAAGTTCCCTGTTTCCCGTTATCTGGTTGCATTTACCCACCCTCAGTAATAAGTACTATCTTGTGTTCTCTACTAATCAGAGCTTCATTTTCTTTACAGTCACCAAATATGTATGTATTCTTAAACTTTTCATTTAATTTTAAAAGTTGTAAAAATTTACATGGGTAAGTTTGAGTATTTCCTTGGTTAACTAGTGTTTTCCACTTACCATATGATGTGTTATTATGCTCAGGATTTTATGAATATTCAACTAGTGTTTTCCACTTAACATATTAGGTGTCATTATGCTCAGGATTTTATGAATATTTACAATTTATTTACCTACTCAAATGACAAAGGACAGCGTTATTGGTTAAAGTGCCTAGTTCTTATCAATAATATTGCTGTGAATGTTCTAACAGTTTGCTCCTGTGTGCTATGTGTGTCTTCAATTTTGTTGAAGACAAAATTGTCTTCAAGAATTGTTACTTTTCCCCTTCTGTGAAATTCCTGCCTATCCTTTTGTCGGCTGATACATTTATTTAGTCATATTTTACTTTTTTTAATGAGTGTAATCTATAATAGCTTTTATTTTTGAATTTTTATTTTTTTGAGACAAAGGGTCTTGCTATGTTGTCTAGGCTATTCTAAATCTTCTAGGCTCAAATGATCTTCCCACCTAAGCCTCCAAGTAGCTGGGACTACAGGTTTGTGGCACCAGGCCCAGCTCAATTTTTTATTTTAAAAATTATATTAAATGCTCAAATATCTAATTTCATGTATCTATATAGATTTATTTTGGCCTTTTCCCAGATATTAATTATATTTAACTTAATTTTTTTCAATTTGTTTACTATATTTTCTTGGGTGTTACATCTTCTCTGTATTCAGTTTTAAGCAACTCCTTTTGATATTAGTCTTAATGAAGTCTATTAATTGAACATGACTTTTTTTCATTTGCTAAGAGCTCTGGTCTCTGTGCTGGTTAGAGCTGACTGTAGGTAGCTTTCTCTGTTGACTTTTAAGGAGAGTAGGTAAGGCACCAACTCTGTATGGTGGGGCACTTCACATCATTCTGTATCATATTTCAATCACTCCAGTCCCAATACTAAAAACTGGCAGATACTCTTTCTTTCTGTTTCAGTTTTTGTTTTTTGCCAACCATTTTTTAAAATGTAAATCATATCTCAATTTCTTCATGAAGTTATTCCTAATTAAAGCAGCTAGCATAAACCTCTCTCCGCCAAGCACATCCAAAGTACATGGCCTCTCCCAGCTTGTAATACCATGCTGCCTTTTATTATTATTAGTGTTTCTACTCTCAATGCCTTATTTTCCGATTTATTAAAAGTTTATCCGACACCTAAAATCATTTCACAAAAATTCTCATTTCAGTTATGTTGTTATTGGTGTCGGTGGTGGTGACTTAACATCGCCAGTTTTCCCTGTATAAAGCTTTGTATCACCTCCACAGGTAAATAGAAAATATCGGTAGCTCCATTGTGATTAAATTCCAACTCGTTTTTTGCTGACGTTGTGTGTTGTTCCTTATAAAAAACAGGAACACATTATATGATTTATGTCATTTTCATTTAACTAGAAAAGTTATATTTTGAGGAAAGTTACCAAGAATCTTCCATGTTCTTTCACTTTCATTTTATGAAATATTTAATTTCCTTCTAGCTATTAATTAAGATTGATTATCAAGGTAAGAATGTAATCAATTCTAATTTTCAATTTAGGAACGACTCACTTTTTAAAATTATTATTATACTTTAAGTTTTAGGGTACATGTGCACAATGTGCAGGTTAGTTACATATGTATACATGTGCCATGTTGGTGTGCTGCACCCATTAACTCGTCATTTAACATTAGGTATATCTCCTAATGCTATCCCTCCGCTCGCCCCCTACCCCACAGCAGTCCCCAGTGTATGATGTTCCCCTTCCTGTGTCCATGTGTTCTCATTGTTCAATTCCCACCTATGAGTGAGAACATGCGGTGTTTGGTTTTTTGTCCTTGGGATAGTTTGCTGAGAATGATGGTTTCCAGCTTCATCCATGTCCTTGCAAAGGACGTGAACTCATCATTTTTTATGGCTGCATAGTATTGAATCATGTATATGTGCCACATTTTCTTAATCCAGTCTATCATTGTTGGACATTTGGGTTGGTTCCAAGTCTTTGCTATTGTGAATAGTGCCGCAATAAACATACGTGTGCATGTGTCTTTATAGCAGCATGATTTATAATCCTTTGGGTATATACCCAGTAATGGGACGGCTGAGTCAAATGGTATTTCTAGTTCTAGATCCCTGAGGAATCGCCACACTGACTTCCACAATGGTTGAACTCGTTTACAGTCCCACCAACAGTGTAAAAGTGTTCCTATTTCTCCACATCCTCTCCAGCACCTGTTGTTTCCTGACTTTTTAATGATCACCATTCTAACCGGTGTGAGATGGTATTTCATTGTGGTTTTGATTTGCATTTCTCTGATGGCCAGGGAACGACTCACTATTAACAATAAAATGTATCCAAATTTTAAGAATAAGTAGCAAAAATGGCTGGTTGAAAATGTACATTATCAAGGCCAGGCACGGTGGCTGACACCTGTAATCCCAGCAGTTTGGGAGACCAAGGTGGGCAGATCACGAGGTCAGGAGTTTGAGACCAGCCTGGCCAATATGGTGAAAGCCCGTCTTTATTAAATATACAAAAAAATTTTAGCCGGGCACGGTGACACATGCCTATAATCCCAGCTACTCGGGAGGCTGAGGCAGAAGAATCTCTTGAACCCCAGAGGCGGAGTTTGCAATGAGCCGAGATCGCGCCACTACACTCCAGCCTAGGCAACAAGAGCAAGACTCCATAAAAAGAAAGAAAGAATGAAAGAAAGAAAGGAAAGAAAGAAAGAAAGAAAGAAAGAAAGAAAGAAAGAAAGAAAGAAAGAAAGAAAGAAAGAAAGAAAGAAAGAAAAAAAGAAAGAAAGAAAGAAAGAAAAAGAAAAGAAAGAAAAAGAAAGAAAGAAAAAGCAGGAAGGAAGGAAGGAGGAAGGAAGGCAAGTGCACATAATTCATTTATCTTTCCTTGATCAATTTGTAAAGTTATCATGTAGTTAGGAAACCAAGATGTTTTGTGAAGTATCTCTCAAATGTAGACAAATTTGCTTTTTAACTAGCACAATGGCTTAATTCAATTTTATTATTAATATATACTGAGTTAATAGTAACTCAATATAACTCAATTAAAATATATCCAATGTTAAGTTATGACTAAAAATAATCTAAATGATAAATGATTTTGAAATCTCTTTTAGATTCTCTTTAGAGTCTCAAAAATAATCTAAATGAGAAGTGATTTCCAAATACGTTTTCATTCTTAGGAAAGATTTTTTCTTTCAAATTACTGTCCTGAAAGGAAAAATTAGAAAGCAGAAATGTGGGTTTAATGATGTCTTAAGACATTTTATATCTTATATTCCTTTAATCTGGTTTTGATTATGTTAAGAATCAAATAAGTTCACCAATAAACATGAACTCTTGATTGTAGGAGAGCTAAGCATAAAGTAAACTCATCTACCAATTACCAAGAAGGAATATATTAGAACAAAATAATAATAAAAACAATAATAAACAAATCAGAAAAGTTTTGACCTCATAGTTTTCCACATTATTAAGTCTGTCTTAAATAGAATAGCTCTGTTGTCTCTTATTGAATACATGGTTGACTGACTTTTTTTTTATCTTCAAGTAGATGTGGCTTTTTGATTATAAATAACCTGAAGCTTTGGAAGAAGTAATAACTTGACCTTTCTTCAGAGTCTCACTTCATTGCACTCATTTCCTTTTGCTTGGCCTTAAGATGAGGAGCTTAGACTTGGACAGAAAATGTTTTCGTTTTATTGTATTATAGTTTCTCGTATCTTTAATTTCAAGAACTGATGTAATTTTTAAAAAATGTCTTATCTTTGTCTGCTAGAGATATTAGATAGCATAAGTGCTCCATTCACAATTAAGAACTTAGTTTCTCGGCCTTGCAGTCTTCAGGCATTATAAATCCACATGTTTCTTTACCATTAGAGTAAGAATTCTCTCTAGCCTTATTTTCAGATTACCTTACATTTTTCACGAATTCCTGGAAAGACCTCTAGTTCCTATTATTTATGCCTTCTTACAGATTGGGAAAAAAGTGCTCTCTGTATTATTATGGGAGGAAAGGAATTGCCTCTTTGGACAAACTGCAAAGGATACTTCTTCCTGGCATGTCCTAATACAGGCTCTTACTAAACTATGCCTATGCTGGAATTTACCCCAAATTTACCACCTTGGCTAGGCGCTAAGGTGCATTGAATCACATACAAACTGGCCTAGTCTTCCCAACATTACGTATTTTATACTGTAGCTTTCAAAGAAAAATCTTTCTCTATGCTAATTTTAAACTGGCTACTCTATGGCTATGGAGTGCTGGAGTTAAGTCAATAATTCAGTGCCAAGTACTCAGACATTTTTATCCACCTCATATTATTTCACTAAATAATTCACAGTGATTACCTTAAGATCTTGAATGATGCCCTTCTCACTCATATACTTGCTAACAAAATAGACAAAGATACTTTAAGTTTAGGAAAATTGTGACTTCTTGTTTAAGGAAACAAATTTTATTGATTCTGCCATGCTTAGCAGACAGTCATGCAGCTGCTAAGACTATCAGGTAAGAGTCTCTGCCATCCAAAATAAAATTGCCACTTCAGAAAACATCCTGGATATAGCATTCTTTCAAATTCTCAACCAACTCTAGGGGAATTATAATAAGAGACAAAAAGGAAAAGAGAAGACATATTACTATGTATGGCTGGAAAGTGACCAGAAATCATCATTATTCTATAAATTAAAGGGAGATGCAAATGTCTTCATATCTTCCATCTTTATTTTACCAGACATTTAGAGAGCATTGTGTGGGAAATCATATATTTGATTGGCCAAATGGTAGCTTGAGCAGGAAATGGGGCCGAGGGCTTTATTCCCAGCCTGTGCCCGAGGTTGCTTACAACTGATTAAGGCTCATCCTAAGTTCAGATTTGTTTCCACACCATGACTCTCTGCTGCCATGTAACAATTTCCTTTCCTTTCCTTTTCAGTACCAGGGGATCTGACACCTACAGTCCTATAAATAGTGACTGATTTACTGTAGTATCCAGTAATCCTTTGAGGGACTTTGTGTATTGATACGAATAAGTCTGTCATCCACATTCTTGGAAAGCTCAGGATATGTTGAATCAAAATACTATAATATTCATTTAAATATTGGGATACCCAAAATAACATGTTTTTTTTCTTTCTATTACTAAATAAAGGAAATGGGAAACAAATATTGGAGTGAAGGGAAGGAATTGTTTTCTAAACGCAATGAGAAAATGACTTTTTATTCGTGACTTTGTACGATTTTCTCTTCTTCAATAGTGTTGTTAGGTGATGCTTTAGCTTATAATGACACAAAAAATAATTTGATATTTAAATAATGTATTTTTTAGCCTTAAGAGAAATGTGAGGACTTGTGTTTGTAGTAATGTATACAATACTGGCTAGGATTACATATATTACTAATGTATTTGGTAATTTGTCACCTGACATTGGTTTATGAATATTGAGGAACTTTGAACTATTGAACCTTTGAAATGTATACTTTTTAGACATAATAACTTTAATATGTACTCTTACACTGAACCTATTTAAAGCTACTTTAGTCATTTAGAGCTGCTTGAATTGTGCATTCATACCAAGTTCATATGCATTCTAAATGATTTCAACCTACGTATGATGTGGTAAGTGGCTCTGAGATCAACTAAAAATTTACCATCCTAAGTCGGAGAATAGGTATATTTTATATCTTGGCTGTAAGGAAAGTACTCTTTTTTAGTTGTATGGAAAAGATATCCAATATTCAGAAATTTTACTCCAAGTTCCCAAGCTACACTTTTAAAATGTAGCTTCTGACATCTCTCACTTCTTCCTAAATATATACTGTACATGATTTCCAGAGTCAGGTATTATAAGCAATAAGATTTTTACTCTTTATATATCTATGATGTATGCTACAATATTAAAACTCTTTAATATTTCTTATCTTAACATTTTTTAAGAAATAAAATTCTTATTGGGGAAAAATATCATTGACAATAAGTTTTCCTTTATGTGGGTTCAGTATTTCCAATATACTTCTTTGTCAACTATAAAATATACTTTGGAGTATTTTTTATGTTAATTCACTCATTATGTATTTATTTGTTCATTATTTACTCAAATTCTACTACTTAGAATAATTCCATTCTCATGGAATTATATCTTTCCTATGCCAAAAGGAGTAGGAACAGAAAGGTCTGGATAAAATGAATGATCACATTTGTCGCTTTCTTGTTTTTCATGGGAATAAGTGATCCTGCCCTAGGCTGATAACCGGTCTATGCATCATGCTTGTCCCCTTTGTAGTCTAATGCTCTTCTACCTGGTCATTTATTTTGGAGTGCCTCCAGGCCTTTTATCTTTATTTTCCTATACATTATTCATTTCTCTTTGGTCTTATTTGGGTATTCCCAAGCAGATCATCAGACAAAGATTCAAATGAACGTATTCTGGGGGTCATCCCAGGAAACCTCAAATAAAGGCAGAGGATTGCTGACATGAAAAGTGAGGTAGAGGAAGCCCATAGCAATGTGTCATCAAGGAAGTTACTGGTGCTTAATCCTGCACACAAAACAGTAATAGGCAACTTAAAATATATACAATATGGTTTGGATCTGTGTCCCCACCCAAATCTCAGGTTCAAATGTAATCCCTAATTTGGAGATGGGGCTTCGTAGGAGGCAATTGGATGATGAGGGTGGATTTCCCCCTTTGGTGCTGTTCTCATGATAGAGTTCTCACTGAGATCTGGTTGTTTAACTGTATGTAGCACCTCACCTCTCTCTGTCTGTCCCTCCTGCTCTGGCCATGTTAGACATGCTTGCTTTCTCTTCGCCTTCCATTATGATTGTAAGTTTCCTGAGGCCTCCCTAGAAGCAGAAACCACTATGCTTCCTGTACATCCTGCAGAACCATGAGCCAATTAAACTTCTTTTCTCTATAAATTACCCAGTCTCACATATTTCTCTATAGCAGTGTGAGAATGACTTAATACATGTACCTTGGAGTTTTCCCAACCAATAAGTGAGGATGGTAGGGGCCTTTCCCATCAGTGTTAGGTTGAGGTATGGCCCCAAAATGTTATCTTCTAGCATTTCTGACCTGCTGTGTGCATTGCTAAAGCAGATTTCTGACACCAAAGGAAGCCTGCAGTTAAAGAAATGCAGATGCTAGCATGTGAAAGTCAGTGCAATGAATGCTAAGGACCAAAGTGATGGGAGCAGGGCACCACCTGTAATGGCTACATATGCCTTTTATTAACAAAACATGTATTTGCTACACATATGTTATTTTGGAAAAAGGAAAAATTAATTGCAGACAAAAATAATGTAACAAAACTTAAATGTATTGGAAGGTTTTTCTTATATTACTTTCTTAAATTATCTGTGGGTTGAGATTTTTTAACCACTATTATTTATTTGAAGACATTATGGTAAATTTTGTTATATATTAACATATGTAATTGGCTAACTGATCTCTGCTAGTTGAATGACAAAAAGTAGATTTGAAGTCTTGGAGACAATTTTATGATATGTGACATAGTCTAGTCTTTTTTTTCTTTTTAATCAAGATTATTTCTCTGCTGTATCTTTATGATAAGATTTGTTGACATTCACTCTGCCTCTAGCCTATATATTTTCAAACCACTCCCATTAATTGCTCAAACATTTCACACAATTTCATTATTCAGTATAAAGCTTATATCATATGGACCGCGTGACAATTCAGGAAATAAAAATAATGAGTTCCAAAATATATTGTATAGCCTATGGAAGCTTCTAATCATTCTAGTTGAAATTAAAAGACAAATAAGTAGGTTTTTCATCTGACCGAAAGCACAAACAGAACCAGATGATATGTACATTGTATGAAATGACTGTTTTGACAAAATATCTAATAATGATTTAAATATAAATTTATATTACTCAAATGTCACAAAATAGAATTTCCATGTGTATTTATTTTCTCTAAGATTATTCTAATGATTTTCTTCATACGAGTTTATGCATTAAAGTATTTTGTTGCAGGCAATGGAAAATTACTTGAAAAATAATAAGATGGAAAAATGTTAGGTATTTTACAGAGTCAGAGAAAGACTGGAGAGCCAAGCTTAGTACAAGGCATTAGGCAGCTCCAGGGCAATTCATAAAAACATGTTCAGCAACCTCAATTAGCAAGCCTCCATCACAAGTAATGAATTCTTGTTTTATTTGCTTCATCAATGGATCATGTATTTCTAGATTAAAAGTTTCAGAACCATGGTCAGATTGACCTAATTCCTAATTTAAGTTGTTCACCTTTTTTTTTTTTTTTTTTTTTTTGAGTTGGAGTCTTGCTCTGTCACCAGGTTGGAGTGCAGTGGCGTGATCTCGGCTCACTGCAACCTCCACCTCCCGGGTTCAACAGATTGTCCTGCCTCGGCCTCCTGAGTAACTTGGACTACAGATGCGTGCCACTATGCCCGGCTAATTTTTGTACTTTTAGTAGGATGGGTTTTCGCCATGTTGGCCAGGATGGTCTCAATCTCTTGACCTTGTGATCCGCCTGCCGCGCTTTCCCAAAGTGCTGGGATTACAGGCATGAGCCACTGCTCCCGGCCTGTTCACCTCTTATCTATGTGAAGGCATTAATGTGCTAGTCAACGGGGAAGATATGCTGCCTTGAAGGAAATCAGACTAGTTTTTTCAAAATATGACACAATGGACACTGGATTACACCAAAAACATGGAAGTTTTATTATACGGAAAGAGAACGTGAATTATCTTCCTGAAATATAGAACTGAGCCAATTAGATCTAAAAACTCCAACTTTTAAGTAATAGCCTTGGAGAAAAGGGACAAATTTAGAAGTAGGTTCTTTTGTGGTAACGGACTGAGGTTAAAAGGGGATCATGATAAATATCTAAACAACTGCTCAAGATGTGAGCTATCATGACTGATAGCCACTGTAATAGATTGCATCTATAATTCTGTCATGGTACTGAGAATTAGAATCCTAAAGCTTTGGCTTTCTCTTGATCTGGAAAATGGTTGTTACCCCATGTATTATAAATCAGGCTCATTGCATTGAGGGAAATGTCCAGATCGTGAAAATCATCTACATGGAGGCAGAAAAAAGGGTTATAGAAGCAAAGATGGAGGAAATAAATTCTGTGCTTTTGTTACCATTTTCACGCTTTCCCTTTTATTCATGTACATAATGAAACAAAATTTCTTTTAAAATTGCCAATGAAAAATAATTCAATTCAAAATTTCAAATATTCACACAAAAGTCTTCAGATAAATGTGGTAAACTGTAAAAATGGCCACAAATTATCCATGTCCTTGCACCCAGCCTCTTGCAATGTAAAGCTACAGATCCTCTTCTCAAGACTGGGGAGCTATTTCTCTAACCATTGCGACTAGGTGTGACTTCCTTGGACTAATGAGAAATTAGCCAGCATGAAACAAACAGGGATTTGGAAAGCATGTGTACATCGAACATTTTCTTTTATTGCTCTTTGAAACTGTTAACAATATGTGAACATCTCTTGGCTCTCCTGATGGATAATAAAAGAAACCTAGCCTATTCTTCCTCCAGTATGACTGGAGGAAGAATAGTTTGGATTATGTGGTCATGGAATCTATGATGCAAAAACACTAGAGCTAGAATTTAATTCAAAAGAAAATGAGAGGCCAGGCGCGGTGGCTTACGCCTGTAATCCCAGCACTTTGGGAGGCCGAGGCTGGTGGATCACGAGGTCAGGAGATCGAGACCATCCTGGCTAACAAGGTGAAACCCCGTCTCTACTAAATATGCAAAAAAATTAGCCGGGCGTGGTGGCACCCACCTGTAGTCCCAGCTACTCTGGAGGCTGAGACAGGAGAATGGCATGAACCCGGGAGGCGGAGCTTGCAGTGAACCGAGATTGCACCACTGCACTCAAGCCTGGGCGAGAGAGCGAGACTCTGTCAAAAAAATAAAAAATAAAAAAAAGAAAGAAAGAAAAAGAAAAAACAAAAAAGAAAATGAGAAAATTATTCTCCCAACAAATAAAATAGTAACAAAAAAGGCTTCAAGGTAAAATGAGTTTAGCATATGTATCAGCTTGCTATGGTTACCATAACAAAGTACCACAAATTGGGTGGCTAAAATAAAGGAAATGTATTGTCGTGCAGTTCTGGGGGCTGGAAACCTATGAACAAGGTGTTTGCAAGGTTGCTTCCTGCAGAGAGCTGAGGAAGAATTAGTTCCCTGCCTCTCCCCAGCTTCTGGTGGCTTGATAGCAATCTTGGTATTTCTTAGCTTGTAGAAGCATCATCTTGATCTCTGCCTTTATCTTCACATGGCATTCTCCTGTGTGTGTCCAAATTTTCATGTTTTTTAAGGACATTAGTCATATTGGGTTAAGGGCTACTATGACCAATATACCCCAGAATGATGTCCCCTTACTTAACTAATTACATCTGCTATAAGGTTATTTTTTATTTTTAATTTTTGAATAAGTTCATGTTCTGAGATTCTAGGGATTAGGACTTTGTTACATGAATTTTTGGGTGGACACAAACCCATAACAGGAGACAGAACAGTTAGATTTGCTAAATAACAAACCATCCAAAACTTTTGCTTTAAATAATATTTATTTCACCCATGATTTTGCGAGTTGGCGGTTAGAGCTGGAATCAGTTGGTGGCTTAGGTGGACTCACCGGTGCATTTGTGTTCAGCTAAGGATTAACCAAGCAACGCTGCTTCTGAAGGTCGGCACTTTGTTGGTGGAGGCGACAGGTGCAGTTAGGCTAGGTTTCTTTTATTATTCTACTTTTATTGTCTTTATCATACTTATTTCTCTCTAAAGTTAACTATAATCCTGATTTACTTAATTTTGAATCTTCTCCACTAAAATGTAAGCCCCATGGGAGGAGACATCTTTATTGTCTTTTTATTACTATCCTCACAAAACTTAACATACAACAGTTTCTTAATAAATATTAATTATACACATACCTCCCTTGAATTAATAAATAACATTTATTAATTAATATCAATTAATTAACAGTTTCTTAATAAATATTAATTATATATAGATACACCAGAGAGCATTTAAAACTATTTCACAATTAAAATTTTAACCTATATAAGACATTTTCCTTCAAATAAACTCTTGAAAGCAGAGTTTATTTGAAATAGAGTATGACTGCTTACTTAGAAAGCCATGTAGAAATTACATATAATCTATTAGTAAGATAGAAGTATCAATGTTTGGGATTTTTTAATTTTCTCATCTCTTAGAGATAATTCTGTCTTCAACATTGAGAGTCATGAGTACAGCCTCTAGAATAATTAAAAATTCCAGTTGTTGGGATATAAAGGGAAGGAGTCAGTAATTAACAAAATTGTTTCTAGATAAAGGAGATTCCAGGCATAGATTAGACCTTAGCCATAGAACTGGAAAGAATAAAAATTAAGAGCAAGATTAATCCTTTGTATTCTCCATCCTCACTAAGGCTAAATGAGAGACATCCTAAGGAATGGGAAAGGGAGATAGTGGGTGACACTAGAAAAAGGATGGTAGAAGTAAGATAGTAGACACTGGAGGATAACGTTGAAAGGAGAAGAGTTAGAATTTGCAAGCTTGACAACACCATCTGGGGATATGTCCTAATAGCAGGAGATTTTCACTTCTGTGAATACTACACATTGCCCACACAGATAACCAGTTCTTCTTGACACAGGCATCTGATTGTTGCTTGCAAGAATCCCATCAATCTTTCAAGTAAAAGTCACTTTATAAATCTGACCCTATGTCAAAATCTCCCCTTTGCAATGACTTAGGACGTTTCATCATCTTGCAAAGACAAAGTGGGTCTCTGGACATCCAGAAGAGTTGCAGAATAGAAGCTGAAACTTCCAAACCTGGTCTCCAATGTCATGGACTAATAAGAGTGGATTAAGGTGGACAGATAAAAATAAACAAACATTCATCACTACATCTCTTGCATATGCATATTAACTACTTGGATAATGCTATGAAGAAGATGCTATTTCACATAGATACTGATTCTTTCAGTACAGAAGATCGGAGTTACATGCATAGGTGTGGCATAACCTTCCGTTCTGTTTCTTCAAATTATGTAATCCTCCCTTGAAGCAGTTCTGTACAGAGACCTTAATGAAAATAATTTACCCTAATTATAGGGATTTGAGCCCCTTCAGAGATACAAGACATTATGCAGAATCATAGCTACTCTCTTTATATATTTTTCCACATTAGCTGGAAATAAAATGCATTTTGGTTAAAAATAATCTAACCTAAAGAGTTGTAGCCATATGTTACCTTAGAAACTTTAAAGAATTACCACCCAAAATGAATTCAGTACCCTGAATCCATCATGCTTGAACTATCTCAATTTTTAAAGAAGGTATTTATATTGAAATTGCATAGCATGATGACTATTTTAGTTGGCTTCCCAGAACAAAGGTATCACATACCTAAAACCTCCTTCTCTTGAATCCATACACACAAAAAGCATTTAAAAATCATATGTGTATGTGAGGGGAGATATGTACATTAGCTGTTAAAACTTAAGTAAATATCTGTATCTATATATAAGATGCACAGAATCAATATACATATATAAAAGTCAGTATGTATACCACACACACTATATAATTTCATCTTATAGCCTTCACAACAGATTTAATAATTTTATTATCTATTTTGGGAGAAAACATTATAGAATCAATTGGTTTACCCTGATTTTACTTTAGTATGGTATAAAAAATAAGAATAAGTTACAGGGCATTATAGAGTAAAGGACAAATAAATGATAGAGACCAAACAACTCTACCTTCTTGAATACTACAGTCCTAATAGTAGAAATATTAATAGTAATCACCAGCATTTGATTATTTATTGTTATACTTACACTGTACTGTATACTCTCAAGTAGAAATTTTAAAATATATGTAGGTGTTCTAATATTTACTCATTTCACACAGCTTTATTGCATATAGTCTCAGGGATATTATATTATTTGGGAAATAGTTGAGAGTATAATTGATAATTTTAGAGAGCTGCTTAAGCCAGCATGCAAATTTCAAAGCATGTTTGTAGTTTGTATAACAAGCAATATGTAAGGAATCATTGGCACTCATATTTCCTAAAGGAACATTTGCTTAAGCCATTGGAAATTTAGACCTAGTTAACTTCAAACCAAGTCAGATAAGCAATCTTTCTTGCGTGTGTACATGCAAATGTGTCTTGTAAAACATCAAACTTGAAAACATTCCCTGTTGCTGTTTTAGGAAACAACAGCACGTTTTCTCATTTTTCTGTAGAAAGTTTCTTCTCTACTTCAGTTTCTGCATTTCTAATAAGTCTTCATCTATTTGTTTCCGCTCATATCAAAAGTAATTACAAGTAAAGTGACACACATAAACACATATATATGACATACATATACAGATACAGCTGTAAATACACATATAGATATTTTTAAGAGCATTCCTGTGGATTGTGGCATTTGTGAAGGAAAAAATAGATCAGTATCACATCTACGGAAGTCATATATTCTAAACGTGAATAAAGGCTTATTGTGGCAAATATTAAAAATGGTAACCAAACTGATATTTCCAGATCTTCAGCATATGGCTTAAAAATTGGTACGTATCTATCACTTACCAGGATGCACTCAGCTCAAAACAACTTAAAAAAATTCAGTCATCTCCAACTCCTTATAGCTCATAACATTTATAAAATATATTCTAACGTCTATAAGAATGGTTATATTCACCATCTTTATAATGGTAAATAGTAGGAAAAAGCAGTTATGATTTATTGACCACTCCATTCCAAACAGGTAAGAGACACTATCAGGACTCATACACGCAGTGCAAACTTACTTTGCTAATGTATGTAAACAACATGTAAATCTGACAAAGTTGGTAGGCAGGTGGGGGGGGTCATACATAGAGGCAAGAATAACAAGTCTGTCTTTTATAGTATCATAACAGTATAAGCTTTAGATTATATTTCTTGTTTAAGACATTTCAGTGATTCCTCATTGTCTACTTACTTTTAAATATCTACAGGTGGCTTGTATATTTACCCTTGTAAAAATCACTTTCACCAAGACAACAGTCATACCTGAATTCAGTCAACCTATACCTGAGTTAGGTATAAGAAATAGAGAATTGAGAAAGATTTTGATATAGAACAAGTTTCAGAATTAGGGTTTCTATACTTGGTCACTGTTTTGCTATGTTGCAGGAGGAAAGACAGCAGTTCAGGGCAAGATCAAGGTTCCAGGTTCTGTAAGTGGGTGCATGGTAATTCTGGGTGCCAATGCATCTCTTGCAACAGGAGGTGCATAATTTAGGGAAAAATGCATTGCTTTTAAATTTGTGCACATGTAAAATTAACATTTCTGTGAGATGCCTGGTTGGAAAAGGAGGATCCTAATAGCTAATATTAATTAAGTGACATCTTTGTTCTTTTTATTGTGCTGTGTCCTTCTACCACTACAAGCAGCACCATCATCACTACAAACACAGCAGCAGAAGTAGTAAAATTATATTTAAATATTAAGCATCTTCACAGAATTTAAATAGAATTAAAAAATCTGGTGATGAGCAGTAGCTGCTTGCATAGCCCTTTGGCCTCTGAGTCCAGAAACTAAACTGTAGTCAGGAAAGGAAATCCTGTAAGAGGATGTAGTGCAATGATAGAACAGGAACTTCCACATTCAGGCAGGTTCTGGATGGAATTTTGTCTGTTGAGAAGAGGCTGAACAAGACAGGGAGGATTACCACCATGCCTGCAGCTGGTAACTTCACAGCTGCACGCTTACCTGAGGTGGCTGGAGGGCTCTTCCTGCGAACCTGAGCAAGCATTACAGTGTTCTAGTAACTGGGTCTTTATATGACTTTGGACTGGTAGGCAAGAACTCCCAATATAAAGTATGGTTCAACAGGGATCGGTGGCATGCAACTGTAGTCCTAGCTACTTGGAAGGCTGAGGCAGGAGGACCTCTTGAGCCTAGGATTTCAAGATTAGACTGGTCAACATCGTGAGAGCCTGTCTCAAAAAAAGAAACAAACAAAAAAACAAAGAAAAAAACCCCAAAACCAAAACCAAAAACAAACAAATAAAAAACATCTGGCTGAAAAAGGGGTTTGTTGGGGGCAACCACCGGATGGAAAAGTAAGTGAGAAGATACATTTCCCACTCAGAAAAAAGTTTGCAAATGTCATTTTTCAAAATAAAAGAAAAAATAGACAAAAACACAAATAAGAGAAATTATTTAATTAAAAATGAAATCTAAGCTGGACATGGTGGCTCATGCCTGTAATCTCAGCACTTTGGGAGGCTAAGGAGGGCAGATCACTTGAAGTCAGGAATTTGAGACCAGCCTGGTCAACATGGTGAAACCGCATCTCTATTAAAAATACAAAAATTAGCCTGGTGTAGTGCACCTGTAATCCCAGCTAATCAGAAGGCTGAGGAACAAGAGTCACTTGAACCTGGGAAGCAGAGGTTGCATTGAGCCGAGATCTGCCACTGCACTCAGCCTGGGTGACAGAGGGAGACTGTCTCAAAAAAAAAAAAAAAAAGAAGTCTAAGACATATTCATAAAGACTTCAGTTTATTGCAGGATATATAAAGAGATAATAGAATAAAAACATCCATAAACAGGAACAGTAGGTCAAAAAACAAAATTGTATATTAACTAAGAAGTAGATATGAAAAAATGGTCAGAAGCATTGGAATAAATATTTTATTGAAACCAGACACTCAATATATGGGCTATATTATCTTGGTTACCATTTCCTAAAATACGATTCTCTTTTACATTAGAGACTGACATTGAAGCAATAAAAAATTAAGTGCAATATTCAACAACATGTAACCAAAGGGGCAGGGGCAGGAGTCTAACTCAGGTGTCACAGATGCAGAGACTGATGTGATTTCCAAAGCTCTGTTACCTTCCCATGGCATAAAATTAATTTGCATTTACAGAACTAGAGCTTATAATTGCAGTCACCATATGTGTGTGTATGTGTGTGTATGTACACGCAAATACACACACACACACACACATATATATATATAAATATATATACTGGTTCATAGAGTCTAGAAAATATATAAAAATACTGACAAGGGTTATCAGTCTCTAGTCTCATAATATCTATCCAAAACCTTGTTAAACATGCAATAGGAAATAGGGATCAGCTTGCACTTTTTCAACATTCAAAATGTTTCGAGATTTTCTTTATTCCAGGCACTGAGTTCAAGTCCAGAGAAAGATGTTCTGCAAAATAGATCCAGTTTTTTGGTGGCCCACAGTCTCAGGAAGAGGAAAGATACTAATAAAGATAGAGTCATAAATGTGGTAAGTATTGTGCAAAATGTAAAAGGCAACACAATGTATCAGAACTTATTTGAATTAACTCTAGGTTTTGTGGTAGAAAATGCTCTATTTTAATGCATTTAAGGTGACATGGTAAATATGAGTTCATAGGCTGGTAGGAGGTAGAACCAAAATAACTTTGATTAATAGTGTCTCTGGAAGTTTATCAATAATGTAAGAATTTTAGAACATATCCAGCTTCCTTAGCATGAAAAGTAGAAGGTTTCCCCGAAGGGCAAGAGATAATTAAAATTGTCTCGTCAGGTTAAGTTCAGGGAAGTATTGCCAGCAGTTATAGTTCAAAAGAAACTATGAAAAATACAGCATCTTTTCTGAAATTGAGGGAAAAATGGTGGAGGGGCAAAAGTCAGAGTATTGTGAACAAACGTGGATGGACTGTCTTCTGAGTAAGGTCAGCATCATGAATTTTTAAAAGAGGTTTCAACCACTACTTATCAGTAGGAAAGAATGTTATTATTAATGCAAAGGGGTACTGTGTTTGTTGTTTTAAACATGGGCTCTGTAAAAGTGTTGGAAGTGCAACACAGTACCTTCTACGAACAAAAACATGTAAGACAACTGAACGTAAAGGGACTATAGCAAATCAACTTGAACAGGAAAGTGAGAGTATCAAAATAGGTCCTGTTGATACTCTTAAAAAAAACACTCTTGGAAGGGAAAATTATTGGTTATAGCTCAATAGTGTGATGGTGTCACAGACAGGAAAGATAAAAATGCAAGGATGAAGAAGGGAGCTATATAATTTCAGCAGTCATTATCTTTCGTTAGAAAATTGCAACGGTAGTTTTTAAGTAAAAGGAAATTGGCCATTAATTAATGGCGTAAATGATTCCATGTCTAAACAAATCTTTTCCAAAGAAATCTCAGAGAGATTTTTAAGAGAACAAATATTATCTTATACAGAAATGATTTTGTGAAAAAAATGTTTTTGCCAAATATCATACATATTATACATTCTCTTTATCAACCTTCACTCTCGTCCTTATTCAGTCTCTCCCCTCCCCATTTCATGGGCACACATGTGCATGCACATTCAAAATTCAATTTTTTATAGTAGTTTAATTACATCCTTGTAAGATTTTCTCAGTACCATCTTTTCTTAAGGAGCGTTCCTTAAAAGACTACTTCCCATTTTTAAGCAGTCACGCTATTTTTATACAATCTGTAGTTTTCAAATAGTATACATACGGCATTAAGAAATTCATGTTTTCACAAAACGAAAGTATTTGACTTGTGCTTTCTAACTTAAAGTTATCTCAAAATCAGCCTGGTAGGCAGATTAATGGCCCTGCTGAAATGCCCAGGTCTCCATCCCCAGAACCTGTGGGTATGCTAGGTTGCAGGGCAAAAGGAAATGAAGGTTGCTAATCTGCTGACCTTAAAATAAGGAGATTATCATGAATTATCCTGGTGGGTCTAATATAATCACAACAGTTCTTATAAGTGGCAAAGAGAGGCAGAAGTGTTAGATTCAGAAAAGACATGAAGCCAGAAGCATAGGTCAGAGCGATGATGCCCTGTGAGAAGCAACCTAGCCACCTTGGTTGACTTTGAAGATGAAGGAAGAGAGCCATCTAGGAATGCAGGCAGTCTCTAAACTCTAGAAGAAAGGGCTTCTCCTGTAAACCCTCTAAAAAGCAACAAAGCTCTGCCAGTACTTGGTGTCTCAGTCCATTCTAACACCTGTAACAGAATACCATAGACCAGATGGCTTATAAATAACTGAAATGTATTTCACTCAGTTCTGGGAGCTGGAAAGTCCTAGATCAAGGCAGATTTGATTTCTGGGAAGGACCCATCTTCTGGCTGTGCCTTGCATAATAAAAGGGGCTATAGGGATCTATCCCTTTAGGGCCTCTTTTATAAAGGCACTAATCCCATTCATGGAGGCTCTGACCTCATGACCTACTCGCCTCTTAAAGGCACAAACTCCTAATATCGTTACATTGTGGGTCAGGAGTTCAACTTAAGAATTTCGAGAGGACACAAATGTTTAGACCATAGCACCTGCATTTTAGCCTAGTGATATTTCTAACTGACAGAACTACAAGATAACAAATTTGTGTTGTTTTAGGCCACTACATTTGTGGTAATTTGTTCCAGCAGTAATAGGGAGCTAATGCAATTGCCTACAGTCTTCCAACATCCTCTTAATCAAAAATACTCAGACATATGAAGAGAATCTTACTATGATATCCTCCTTGACTTTGCATTTATCACATTTACAATTAAGAATAAGCAAAAGGTAGATTCAAACATATTTAAAAATACAATGTATTTTAGACATGTATTCACAATGATGCTCTTATTAAAAGCCTGTAAGAAACCGGGTGAGGTGACTCATGCCTGTAATCCTACTATTTTGGGAGGCTGAGGCTGGCAGGTGGCTTGAGCTCAGGAGTTTGAGACCAGCCAGGGCAATATGGCAAAACGTCATCTCTACAAAAAAATACAAAAAGTAGTCGAGCGTGGTGGTGCACATCTGTAGTTCCAGCTACTCAGGAGGCTGAGGCAGGAGGATTGTTTGGGCCTGAAAGGCCAAGGATGTAGGGAGCCCTGCTTGTGCCACTGCACTCCAGCCTACATGACAAAGTGAGACTCTGTCTCAAAAAAAAGCCTGTACGGGTTATGACACGTGTCCTTAAATATATCAACTTTAATGATACTTTAAATTGGGTAATTTGCCTGCAACTATTTTAAATATTAGCAATTTTATATAAGCCTCCATGTATGTAACAGATGTATTGCTTAGACTGGATACTCAAAGTGTTAAAAAGTAATGGTTTAAGAAAAAGAAATCGTAAAAATAAATCCAACCTGAAATCAGTACTATGCCAATATCTCAACGATCATGTGGGAATTTTAATCTCAGTCATTATAGCAGTTTACTTTCCGTTCCAATTTTATATAAGGATCTTAGAGGTCTAACATACATTTACAGTATAATGAACAACAATGTTGCTGCTGATATGATCATTGTTCAGAACCTCAGGGACCACTGTAAAGGTCTAAAATGCATTGACCCATTTGTGGTCATACCATTTTCTCTCACACTCAGGAGAATCTGCCATTTCATTTTCAGTTTTTTATTTCATCAAATATTAAATTGGACTCAATATTTAAAAATTTTAAAATGTATATTGTTTGTATATTCTTTGTGCTAGAAATTGAGAACTGGTTAAACTGAACTAAATCCCTTTTCTCAGAAGGTTTACCCTGTGGTCTTTCATTGAAAACTAAGAGTCAACATTGTGCTTTGTTTTTTGTTGTGTGTGTGTGTGTGTGTTGTGTGTGTGTGTTGTTTTTCCCCCGCTAAGAATAGGGGAGTGACTGAGGAGCTGGCCAACAGAAATGAAATTAAGATCTAAATGAATTATTATACCACCACTGGAAAACATGCTATTATATTTTAAAAATCAAATAATTTCAGTAATATGAGTGTACCTTGGTGACTGTCAGCCTTTGAGAGATAGGATCTGTTAAACACAAATAAAGACACAGATAGAAATGATTCATGCTATAATGTTTATTTGCTGCCTGTAAAACCTTGTGAACTAGAAATAAAATACTTTATATTTTTTGTCACAATAACATCATTAAACATTTTGAACAGATACAGGTTAAAATCCTACATTTTATTACATATGAAACAATATGGATGGGTTATGAGTTTCAGAGGTAAAACCATATCATTAAATAATTATTACGATGGGCAGTATCTTAAATGACCCCCAGTGATCCCTGTTTCCTGGAATCCATGCCTTTGTGCAGCAGCCACCTCTACAGTGTGGAATGTATGTATTTGAGTCACTTTTGGAGAATATATAACACCACAGAAATGATGGGATGTCACTTCTGAAGTTAGATTATAAAAAGTTTCTGGCTTTCATCCTAGGCATTCTTATTTATATAGAGAATGCAAGAGGGAGTACTCAAAGACATAAATGGTGGTGAATACTGTTCTAGGTTTTAATACAGAGATTAATGTTGCATTGGATAAAAGATACATTCACATCTAGACATATGTTATTGTAATTGCAATTGCTGAGAAGAAAAATAGGATGTTTAATTTTACAAAGAAAAAAGAAATGTAGGAAAGTAGAAATTATGTCAGCCTAATAAATGTCAGGAAAAGAGACAAAAAATAAATTTTGTAAATGCAAAATGAAATTATAAAAATAATGACAAGTATATCAAACAACACAACAAATAAAAAGTTATATATTTTAAGTCTACTATACACTGTGAGTGTGTGTGTGTGTGTGTGTATGTGTATATTTAATTTGCTTTATGTCAACAATCAGATTGGCTTAAACACTTATAAAAGTAGCAACTCAAAATTATATTCTACTGAACAATTCACTTATACCTCAAAATCATAGTTTAGAAACTAAAAAAGGGTAACAGTACAAATTCTTTTATATACTAGTCTAATCCCAATTTTTTTTAAAAAAGTATAACTATAAACTTGAAAAGATAAAAAGGATTAATAAAAATAAAACTTTGGAATATATATGAAAATTCCATATAGAATAATATGAATAATAATTGGATTTTATAGAACTTTTTAAAGGACTTATGATGGATATAGTGATATTTAGAATATGTTCATCATAAAGCTAAAATAATTTCAAAATATTCTTAATTAATGCTGAAGCATATGAAATTAATCCCCAAATCTACAGCTATAAACAAGTAAGTGAATAAATCAACAGACTAATAATATAGGCTTCTTCCTTAATCTGTGAAAACATAATTGCTCCAAACTAACAGTCCTTATCATGGTGAAATACTGGCAGCATTACTTTGAATTTGATAACAAATGAATGTACTTACTATTATCAGTCTAGTTTCCATTTGTTAGGGTTACCCAATGTAACTAACATTACATAAAAGGAAACAAGTAGTATTGCATAAGACGAATTTGTTTCTATATATATCAGCAAATACAGTTAGAGGACATATTGGGGGAAAATATTCTCCTACAAACACCAACTGAAAAAAAGTTAAATATCTAAGTATAACCCAAGGAAGAAATATTAAGAATTCTTATGAAGGTAACTATAGTTCTCCAATATGAGATAGTAATGTGGGGTGTGTGTGTGTGTGTGTGTGTGTGTGTGTGTGTGTGTGTGTGTTGTATGTGTATAATGGTTAATACTGAGTATCACCTTGATTGGATTGAAGGATGCAATGTATTGTTTCTGGGTGTGTCTGTGAGGATGTTGCCAAAGGAGATTAACGTTTGTGTCAGTGGACTGGGAGAGGCAGACCTATCCTCAATCTGGGTGGGCACCATCTAATCAGCTGCCAATGCAGCTGGAATAAAAGCAGGCAGAGGAAAGTGGAAGGACCAGACTGGCTGAGTCTTCCAGGCTTCATCTTTCTCCCGTGTCCGTGTTGGATGCTTCCTGTCCTCAGACATCGAGCTCTGAGTTCTTCAGCTTTTGGACTCTTCAGCCTACACCAGTGGTGTTTCAGGGGCTCTCAGCCCTTCAGCCACAAACTAACAGCGGCACTGTTGGCTTCCCTACTTTTGAGGTTTTGGGACTCTGACTGGCTTTCTTGCTTCTCATCTTGCAGATGGACTACTGTGGGACTTCACTTTGTGATCATGTGAGTCAATACTCCTTAATAAACGCCCCTACATTTATACATCAATTCTATTATTTCTGTCCCTGTAGAGAACCCTGATTAGTACAATGTGTAAGTGTAGAGTCTGGAGGGGAGGGGAACACTCACAATGAATCTGCAATAATGAATTAAAAAATGTCTAAGACACATTATAAGAGAAAAATATGTAAAAGAGAAAAATGAGAGAGCAAGAGAAAGAAGGAGTAGGGAATATTGGCAGAGAAAATCACAGGAAAATTTCATGACTCAAAAGAAAAACACAATAAGAGGAGGTACCTTCAATTGGTAGGAAAAGAGGAGTTTTAGATTTTCTTCTCAATAGGATTCTGAATTGTGTAAATTTTATAATATGTATGCATCAATTTTGCATTGCCTAACAATGAAAAAAGATTTTAAAATTGAAAACAAAGTTGCAAATTTTGTCTAATGCATCAAGGAATAGTTGTATAAAATTTTAAAAATTGCATGAGTTGAAAGACATGATTAGCAGGATTTACATTTGCACATGAACAACAGGAAATTAGAAGATGGTAGAAATTTAAAAGATGTGATGTTCACTTAGGTAAATATTCTTATCATAACAGTTTGTAAGGTTTTACCCTACTTACATAATTAACTTACATGAAGAGGCAGAGGTGGAAATGAGTTTGCTCAGGTGGGCGTTTTCATCCAGAGCTGAAGACATTTATTAGGCATAAACACACACACACAGCTTCTCATTTGGAGGATCGTTTCAAGTTAATTTGGTTTATGGCTATGCTTTAGAGAAATGACAATTTTCAAATAGAGATTAGATGCACTATAATAAGTCCTTTGCTGTAATTTAATAGTTTCTAGAAGGATTTGATTCCCCATTTGGTTCATCTGCTAGTTCTATTTATCAAGGTGTGTGCAAGATTGTTGTAAACAAGTTACAACCACCCCCTCTGAATGAACTTTCGAGGAGATATTTCGGAATATTTATAGGTACATAAATGCTGTGAAGGACACAACTTCGCATCGTCTCTTCTCTGCCACCTCACTTGGCAGATCTTATAAAATGATCCCATGTCGATATGCCTATTAGTGGAACTGCTTATAAACTTTATGGAGTAATACTAAACATCAAAAAATACAGAAATCTAAGGTTAGCATTGGAAAGAACTATTCAGTACTCAATTTGAGGTAGGAAGAATATTATCAACTATTGTATTTCAAAGCATTCAGAATATTTGATGTCTAATAATAACATCCAAATGAGAAAGCACTGGGTGAGAGCACATGAATTTGTCTTCCTCTGTCACCTCTCTTCTCTGCTAGACATCTGCAGGTTTTATTTAGTCTGTGTTCCACATTATTTAAAGTGGTTTTGTTGATCTTAATGAGTGAATCTAATGTTCTGCCTTAATAAGAAATTAATTACTTATGAAATACCCATAATAGCTTTTGACAGAGTAAGAAAATAAAATTACATAATGCTGACTTGTGAATGAGCTTTAAGGTAAAGAGAAGAAAAAAGATGGAGAGATGATGTCCAGATGAAGTTATTTTAGAAATATTTTATTTGAAATACCCACAGAGAACTGAATGTAAACAAGGAAGATCGGACTTGGAAGATATACCTGTTTGGGGTTAATTTAAATCAGACATATATGTTATTATTCTCCACTTTCTTTAGTGGCTCCAAAATAACCTAATGTAACATATCGTATGGTCATTCTGATTAAGCTAGTATTGTACACTTGACAAAAAAAAAAAAAAAAAACCTACTAATTTTAAAGACTGAAAATCGGCCTATTATATATTATAAAGACATTGTGACCTTTTTAAAAAGTAAGACTTAAGAGAGAGAAAAATGAAAATTAAATGTTTCTATTCAGAATATTTTCCCACAGCTTGGGAAATCATACTTTATTCCATTTAGTTGGGAAGAGGCAAGCACTTTTTAAAATTTAACTCTTCAGATCATGTTCAACTTTAAATATGTTCTTTTATCCTGCACCCCTGGGCTCCAGGTTCTTTGACATGCAGCTCTTCTGCAAATGTCTGTCCTGAAAAGGAATTATGTTCTTTTTCATTTAATTTCCCTAGAGCAATTGTTATAGGGGGGAAGGAGAGGAAAAAGTCCCAGGAACACTGAGTGTAGAAGAAACGTAATGAGAAACCAGGGCGGAGGGAAGGGAGCAGGGATGAACAGTGAGAACACATGGACACAGGAAGGGGAACATCACACACTGGGGCCTGTTGTGGGGTGTGGGGAGCGGGGAGGGATAGCTTTAGGAGATATACCTAATGTTAAATGACGAGTTAATGGGTGCAGCACACCAACATGGCACATGTATACATATGTAACTAACCTGCACGTTGTGCACATGTACCCTAAAACTTAAAGTATAATAAAAAAAAGGGGTCAGAACTAAAATTAGAGACTGAGGGTGATTTTTCCTACTGCACTTTTCCAAGGTAAAACTTTGCAAATGTCTCATATGACAAAGCAAACAATTAACAGTGTATTTGACCTAAGGATCCAGACATTTTACCATATGTATTAGTAAAAGTGATAGGGAGAAATGTGAAAACTCCTCTTCAAGAAATATTATTTTCTGTCTCTTTACTCCACCTGGAGATAATCAAAATAATAGCGGTATCTTTATATTGTGGAGTAAAAGTGAAAGCAAGCATAGGGTTATGGTTATGCAGATAACAAAATACATAATAAAATGTACAATGTGGTAAATGTAGAGTCGACAGAAAGGGAGACTATTCAACTCTAATTTGTATCTCCATTTTTAAATTAATAAAAGAAATTATATTCTCCATATAAAGGAATAAATGCAACATGAGTGACAGAATTGCAACTTGTGAGTCCAGCAGCCTCCTGTGTATTTTTTGTGAGTGGCTGTGTGTGGTGTACTCTTAGAGTGACTGGATGTGGTTGAACAGATATGCAATGAACGGGACAACATCTGTGAATAAACCTTGTAGTTAATATATTTGTTGAACTTAGCATTCTTTGTTCACAGTTGTCCTAATTGTTCATGGATAAAATATAATCTTTCTAACCCTAAGGTAATTCGTATGGGAAATCCATAGGGCCTGAGATCTGTAACGACACTACATACTGATTTCTCCTTTTCACAGGAACAAGTGAGACTGGTAAATCATGACTACTGCCAATGATCTGCTGATCCTCTACTTTCAGGGGTCTCCTTTCTGCCTAGTATCACTAACAGTTAAAATGGTTAGAGCAATGAGTTGCAAAAATAAGAATTTAAGTCTTAAGTACCAACTCTCAGGACTCTACTGAAGTCCCTTTCTAGTTCTAATGTCAAGAGGCCATTGTAGTAATTATTGACAATTTATGATATTAACATATCACTGTAACTGATACGTGATGAGTGGATGAGTTTACTAAGCAATCTTACTTGGCATGTGGGTGTAAATTTAATATACTCCCTGTAGTTAAATGAGTTGCTACTATTTTATTGTCAGTTTCGCTTTGCCTCAACAATGATTGTTTTTGAACAAGGTATGCCCAGCACACTGTTGCTCTCCATATCCCTTCTGAGGGACTGAAGGATATTACCTAAAGTTCTTTGTTTTTTAAGTTTTGTATTATTTTGTTTTGCAAGGAGCATCTTTTTTTTTTGCTCTTTTTCATACTTGTGGGTTGCAAAAATACATATCTATGTATTTTCAAAGGTGTGATGTAATTGTAAATTACATTTTAAATTGTAAATGATTATCTTCATGAATTTCAAACTGATGCCACCATACAATAACATGGCCAAAAATATTCTCAAACTGTGGGAATGGTCACCCCATATTCTCTCAAGGGACTTAGTTGCTGGTTTGAAAATTAATTTTCTATTAGCTTTTTTTCTAATATCACCTTGATCATTGCTAAGTGTTAGCTCTCAGTCTCAAGAACTTTCAAAAAATTAAAAGCAAATGAAAAATAAAAGACAAACAAAAATCCCTTTTCTCCCTTAGACAAAACACTGAAGGAGTGCAGAAAATGTCTGGAGATTATTAAGAACAGCTGCTGAAAGAGAAGAGTAGATTTGTGAAATCCACTTGCTTGGTCTGTATCTCTTGGTGTCCCGATTTCAATCCCAATGTAGGGGGTAAATAATTGTATTCTCTTCCAGAGAGGGGCCTTCAAAGATCTTAGGGGTATTATAATAGGAACTATAAACTGGTGGGACAGATGATTTCTGAAAAATCATTGACAATGGACAAAGCAGTACGAAGTAGAGAATGATGGAATTAAATCACCATCTTTGATTCAACAAATGACAGATTGATAGGTGTGGCAAAATTTTGTAAAGGATGGTCTTATAAATGGTTTGTGAGTCCATACAATGTATTAGCTAATGGTTAAAATATCTATTGGTCCTACTCTAGAATTCATGAAAAATTTATTCAGTATTTAAAAATGCAGACAGAGATTGTAAAGTATATTTTTAGTGGCTATTTAAAACATATCTTTGTTTTAATTCATAGATAAAAAAGAAGAAATATTTGTTCAATGATTGAGAAGTTAGGATGAACACATTTGTTTTGAATATACATTCCTGGAAATTTATGATTTTTTTTCACTAGGTAACATAATTTTACTGCCTTGTAGTAAATAATGTTATAAATGGTAAAGAATATAGAAAAATACTGAAAGGGCAGAATAGTTAAAAAGAGTTTTTGTCGTCAAATAGTAAACCATAACTTTAAACCATTTTAACATAACAGTATAGGACTTTAATAGCAATAGAAAATAATTTCTGGAAGCTAAATGAATAATGCAAAATTATATCCTAGTTTGTATAGGAATTTAAGCTATGACAGAGAGGTATTTCATTTCTATGGAAATAGTATTGTTGCTGAAAAAATATGCTATGCATTTGGAAAAATACATTTAGAATTTAACTTTATATTATGGGAAAAGAATGTAAATTATATAAAGGTAAAGTATTTTAAAAGAATCAAAAGTCAGTAAATGCTAGTGAGATAAATGCACACATTAGGAATAATGACACTTAGAAAAAGACAGGAAATGCAGAAGCAATACACAATATATAATATTTGACTATCCAGATTTTACATTTTTAATTTAAAATTATACCATTACACAGCTTTAAAACAAAAAGATTAGCAAATGTTTAACAAAGATAAATTTGTGATATTTATATTGCCCAAGCATCTGCCACTATTTAGTAAGAAAAAGACCAAGTTCAGTTAAAAAAAAACAAAACAAAAACAAAACAAAAAACAACAACAAAAAACTTTGGCATGATGTGAATTCACAGAAGAATCTATCTAAACGAGATCTGCAAGCTGCCATAGCTTGAAGGGAAAATAATCAGTGTTAGAGGTTGTTCAAGAAATTGAACAAAAATAACAATGAAATATATTTCTTGTCATAAGAAAAAATTAAATATGTAACACCCAGTGTTTTCAGGAATGTAAGGACTATGACATTGTAATACATTGTTGTTAAAAATGTGCACTGGTAGAGTAATTTTAAAGCAATTTGATAATAGGAATTAAAATAAATATATTTTATATAGACAGAATATATATAAATAACAAATAATAGTTTATTTTTATTTTTATAAAGTATATTATTTAGTTAAAAATCTTACTTTATATAAGCATCTAGAGATAAAATAATTATTTTATAAAATAATATGATGATTTTTGAGTCTTTCATAACACCAGAAAACTGGGAACTTCTGTAATATCTATCAATAGAAAAAATGGTTAAATAACAAATGGTGCATTTTAAAGAAAAATACTATGCAAGTATTTAATATTTTATATATATGTATAATCTAAACACAAGCAACAAAACAATAAGACAAATAGAGCATTATTAAACAAAAAAGCTTCTGCATAGAAAGAAAAATAATCAACACAACGAATATACAATTAATTTATAAGAAACTCATTCAACTTCAGAATAACAAAATAAAAATAAGAACAAAAAACCCATTATAAAGTGGCCAAAGGACAAGAATAGACATTTTTCAAAAGACATACAAATGGCCAAAAAGCATATGAAGAGATGCTCAATATCACTAATTATTAGAGAAATGCAAATTAAAATCACAATGAGATATCATTTTACACTGGTCTAAATGGCTATTACTAAAATGAAAACAAACAAACAAACAGGTATTGGTGAGAATGCAGAGAATAGAGAACACTTATTCCCTATGTAAATTAGTACAACCTCTATGAAAAACAGTATGAAGATTTCTCAAATAACTAGAAATATAATTACCCTTCAATGTAGCAATCCCACCACTAGGTATCTACCCAGAAGAAAAGAAATCATTATATCAAAAAGATACCTGTACTTGTATGTTTATTGCATCATTATTTACAATGGTAAAGATATGGAATTAACCTAAGTGACCATTAATGGATGATTGGATAAAGAAAATGTGTCTTAGTAATAGAATGATTTATATTCCTTTATATTTGAGAAATGAAGATTTCTCAAATAACTAGAAATATAATTACCCTTCAATGTAGCAATCCCACCACTGGGTATCTACCCAGAAGAAAAGAAATCATTATATCAAAAAGATACCTGTACTTGTATGTTTATTGCATCATTATTTACAATGGTGAAGATATGGAATTAACCTAAGTGACCATTAATGGATGATTGGATAAAGAAAATGTGTCTTAGTAATAGAACGATTTATATTACTTTGGGTATATACCCAATAATGGGATTGCTGGGTTGAATGGTATGTCTTTCTTTAGGTCTTTGAGGAATCTCTATACTGTCTTCCACAATGGTTGAACTAACTTACACTCCCATCAACAGTGTATAATCGTTCCTTTTTCTCCAAAACCTTGCCAGCATCTGTTGTTTTTTAACTTTTTTTTTTTTTTTTTTTTTGACACAGAGTCTCACTCTGTCACCCAGCCTGGAGTGCAGTGGTGCAATCTCTGTTCACTGCAACCTTTGCCTCCCAAGTTCAAGTGATTCTCCTGCCTCAGCCTCCTAAGTAGCTGGGATTACAGGCATGTGCCACCATGCCCGGTTAATTTTTTTTTTAATTTTTGTTTTATTTTTAGTAGAGACGAAGTTTCACCACGTTGGTCAGGCTGGTCTCGAACTCCTGGCCTCATGATCTGCCCACCTCGACCTCCCAAAGTGCTGGGATTACAGGCGTGAGCCACCATGCCTGGCTGTTTTTTTACTTTTCACTAATAGCCATTCTGACTGGTGTGAGAGAGTATCTCATTGTGGTTTTGATTTGCATTCCTCTAATGATCAGTGATGTTGAGCTTTTTTCATATGATTGTTGGCTGCATGTAAAAACACATGCATGTGCATGTTCAATGCAGCATTATTTGCAATAGCAAAGACATAGAGTCAACCTACATGCCCATCAATGATAGACTGGATTAAAAAAAATGTGGTACATATACACCAGGGAATACTATGCACCCACTAAAAAGAATGATATCATGTCCTTTGCAGGGACATGGATATAGCCGGAGGCCATTATCTGTAGCAAGCTAACACAGAAACAGAGAACCTAATACCACATGTTCTCACTTATAAGTAGGAGCTAAATGATGAGAAAACATGGACACATAGAGGAGAACACACACACTGAGGCCTTTTGGACTTTTGTAGGGTGAAGGGTGGGAGGAGGGAGAGGACCAGGGAAAATAACTAACAGGTACTAGGATTAATACCTGGGTGACAAAATAATCTGTACAACAAACCCCTATGACACAAGTTTACCTATGTAACAAACCTGTATATGTACCCCTGAAATTAAAATACAAGTTAAAAATAATTTAAAAAAGAAAATATGATATATATACACATATATGTATATAACACAAACACACAGACACACACGCACACACACAGTGGGATACTATTTACCCATAAAAAAAGAATTAAATAATATATTTTTTAGAAACATGGATGTAACTGTAGGCCATTTTCTTAAGTGAAACAACTAGGAAACAGAAAGACAAATATCTCATGTTTCTAGCTATAAGTGTGAGCTAAATAATATGTATGCACGGACATGGGGTGTAGAATAATAGACACTGGAGACTCAAAAGGGTAAGAGGGTGGGAGTGGGGTGAGGGATGATAAATTACTTAACCAGTACAATGTACATTATTTGGATGGTAGTTATACTAAAATCTCAAGATGTCACCACTGCTTAGTATATTTATGTAACAAAACTGCATTTGTAGACCTTGTATTTCTACCAATAAAAAATAATAAATTAAAAAAATAGAATGCGTACATTGACAAGACTAAAAATTGACATTGACAATTGAAAAGTTTTACTATACATGATCAAACACCACATAATTTTTGTGCATTTCTGCTATTTCAATGCAGTTTCAGATTATACTTTCAAAGCTAGGTAAAAATTGAAAACAAATTTGTAATGTGTTTATGTCTTCAGAGAGGATGGAAGGATTTCATTGTAGCACTCCTTTGAGTCTTAACATTTTTCAATACAATGAACACAATTGTAGAAGTCCATATATCAATTCTGCCCCAGTGCTTGAAAGGTAATTAATATCTTGTTGAAGGTATTAAACCTATACAAATAGAATCCAGGAACGTATAAACAAAATTTTATAGAGAAGTTTTAAATTATTTTAATATTGGAGAGCTACATGGCCAGATCAGAGTGTTGGATCCATACCATAGGTAGAGAGAGAGGGAGCTGGAGCTGGAGCCTGAGGATCTTCAGAGAGTAAACGCCCTGAAGGAGGAATTCTTTGTAGACTTGTTGAAATCAAATGTTCGTGGAGGGCCCCTTTTTCAAATTTCATGGCTGCTTTCATTGGAAACTTCCAACATGACCAAGTTCATCTTCCACGTCAGTGGTAAACTCAGACTGAACACAGCAATAGGCTGCTCTCAGCACATATGTATCTGTCCAGTGGTTTTCTTGAAATTGTGATCCTACTCCCCATCATTTCTGGCAAACCTTTGTATCCAAATGTTGAGACTTAGAAGTTGGAGATGTTTGTGAGTTTCTGCTTCATGGGTATTTCTTTTAATTCACAGAAAGATCTTCACCTTCACTAACAGTAAAACCTGTTCTTTCTAATTTTGACCTTCACTAACACATTTCTGATGTGTAAGAGTATACCATTCTTTGTCTGATTTGCAATGCTGATGTTACTTTATTTCCTACATGCTTATTGTCATTTCAATAAAAATGAAGCTGGAGGAGGGCCTATTAAAGAGTTTATATTCAAATGTTAACCAGGAGTTACCGTAGTCAAACTTCTCTGAATATTTGTACTAGAGAAATAACATAATTTTGTGGTCAAATATTTTAACTCTTTTTGCAGCACAGAGGTATTGCTTTAGGATATTATCCAGGATACTTTCTATATCCCTTCTATAATTCAAGTTAAGTACAGTAAACAAACACTTATTGGATAATTAAGAATGAAAACAAAGTAGGTAATATCTTCTGTTTCTCATTGTGTTAGGTTAATGCATACTTTGGATGATCAAAGGGAAAACTGATTGGATTATTTTAATGTAATAAAAGCTGCTTCTAAATATATGTTGTTTGTGTATACGTGTGTGTATATGTGTGTATGTATGTGTTGTTTGTGTTTGTGTTTTGTGTGTGTGTGTGTATATATATATATATATATATATATATATATATATATATCTCCTGACTAAAGGAATTATATGGGATGACAATATTTATAGACTATTAGAATTGGAATGAATCTTATCAATCATTAGGGCAGACCATTCTCCCATATCAGTGAAAACTTTTATATTATCTTTGACGTTTAAGCACCAGGTTTTCCTTTAAGATAATATAATTATCAGGAGGTATGATTTCAAGAAGCATACATTTCTAATGTTAAAGAGCATTTAAAGATATCTAATGTTAAGGTATCTTCCTCCTTTTTAAATTTTTCCATTTGTCCTAATTCATCTCTTTAAATACATGTGAAGTTCATTTGTTCCCTTAGTTGAATATTACTGTATTGCAGTATATTTCAAGTTTTCACTTTTTTATCTAAGAATTCCTTAAAAGGACTAAATGTGTTTATCTGTGTCTCATGCAACATGTTTAAGAGTACAATATTGATCCTCAGAAATACCATATATATCTTCACCTTTATGTATTTTATGTTTTATTAAAACTATGATGCTCAGATTTGGAAGTGCAATGAGTCTTTAAACTATGCATGGTCCTCAAGACAACCTCAAGTTTGGGAGAGTGGAGGATAGGTGTGTGAGAAGCTGAATAATAACTCTTTAAAAGATATTCACAGCCCAATCCCTCCAAACTGTTAATGTTACCTTATATGGAAAAAAATAACTTTGCAAATGCTATTATATTAAATTGAGGATTTGAAGATGAGGGAGATTCTCCTGGATTATACAGGAGTGCCTTAACTAAAACCTCAAGCACTCTTATAGAAAGGAGGTAAATTGATATTTGACTGAAGCATAGAATGAAGCCATGTGACAGAAATCGAAAGAAGCAGAGCGAGGGAGAGGAGATGCTATGCCACAGAATGATGAACCAGATTCTGCCTTGCTCTGTCAAATTTATTTGTTGAAGTCCTAACTCCAAGAACCTCAGCAAGTGACTGTATTTGGAGATTGAAGCTTTAAAGATTAATTAGGTTATAATGGGTTTGTTAAAGTGAGCCCTAATTTAATATGTGTGGCATCTTTATAAGAGAGGTTAGGGCATAAGGAGAGAGAGGTTTGACAGGTGCATGCCCCGAGGAACAGCCAAGTGAGAATAAAATGAGAGGGCAACTAATTATGTAGAGGTCAAGGACAGGCCTCAAATGAAATCACACCTGCTAACATCTTGATCTTTATATTTGGACTTCGGAATTGTGAGACAATAAATTTCCATTATTTAAGCCACCCAACCTCTATTATTTTGTTATGGCAGCCCAAGAAGACTAGTATATACTGGCTTTGAAGTTACGGAAAGAGGCCAAGGAGCACAAAGAAAGTAGCTTCAGATGTTGGAAAAAACAAACAAGTGGATTCTATCCTATAGCTCTGGAGAGCCTGCCCAAACTCTCCAACACCTTCATTTCTTCTCAGTGATACTCCAGAACTGGGAGAGAATAAATTTCTGCTATTTCAAGCCAGGAATTTGTTTACAGCACCCACAGGAAACTAATACAGGTAATAAGCTGGAGTAATAGACAGGTCGGGATCTGGGAGGGAAAAACAGGCCTGAAAGAATGGGTTCCCATGGAAGATAGCCAAAACAATGTTAGTTTACTAAAATAATATTAACTTGAAACACAATATGAACATTATCTCCACAAGCTGGACAGATCATATTTAATGGCATAAGATGTTTTATCGACAGTTGATGATTGAATATTGAAAATTATAAAGCAATTTTTAGGGGTGGATGCAATTTGAAGTAATATCTATGCCTGTTGCTAAGGTTTGAGTTCAGGGACAATGCACTAAGGAAAGGGATTTAGCAAATGCTGTGAGATTTCAGAAGCTTGTAAGTCCAGGCTGGGATTCTGGCATGAATTTGCCCTCCAGGCTAATAACTGGCATTCAAATACAAAATCACATCAGAGGCTCCTGCATAGACAAATTTACAGCATACCGACAGCACAAATACAGGTTTTAAAATGTCAAGTCTATGTAATCCCAGCACTTTGGGAGGCTGAGGTGGGCAGATCACGAGGTCAGGAGATCGAGACCATCCTGGCTAACACGGTGAAACCCTGTCTCTACTAAAAGTACAAAAAATTAGCCGGGCATGGTGGCGGACACCTGTAGTCCCAGCTACTCGGGAGGCTGAGGCAGGAGAATGGCGTGAACCTGGGAGGCAGAGCTTGCAGTGAGCCGAGATTGCGCCACTGCACTGTAGCCTGGGCCACAAAGAGAGACTGTCTCAAAAAAAAAAAAAAAAAAAAAGGTCAAGACTAAGCCTAAATAAAGAATGTCCCGCTCTTGTATTTCTATCCAAGTGTGATATGGTGAGTTGGACTCAGAACCCTAATGGACTGATCATTCAACCTTAAGACTCCTGGCCCACAGCTGATAGAGCTGGGAGAGGGCACTGGTGGCCCTGAGAAAAGGAGACTATGACTTCTCATTATGATAGGGTACTCGTGCGTTCAGGACACGTGACCATTCGTCAGCTCATGTCTCACATTGTTGAGCTATCTTAAGCTTGATTTTTCATACCAACTACTGTTGGCATGTGCCGCATCCACGAATTGACTTTTTGATACTCCAAGGCTTGAATTGATACTATTACTCTAATAGTAATTTGTGTTCTTCGATGATATTTCAGGATTTCCATTTTTCAGGGTCATATTTCACTTCCCTTCACTTTTGAAGTTTAGTGGGACCATGAAATTTGCGCAAACAAATAAGATGTTAGCAGAAGCACTGCAGTAGTCACTTGGTTTCCACGGGGTATGGGTTACAGGATCGCTATGGAGACCAGTCTGTGTTTGCTCAAGTCTCTGATGTAAAATATCTAATACAATGTAAATGTGATGTAAATAATATGCTGTATATTTCATTTTTGTTATTTTTAATTGTTGTATTGTTATGTTTTATTGTGATTTTTTTGCCTAATATTTTCAATCTGCAGTTGGTTGAATCCGTGATGCATAACTCATGGATATGTAGGGCCAACTTATGTTCTCCAGATGGAAGCTTGAGGAGCCATCTTTGAGTTTCCATGGTTTCATTTTCCTGCCTAGGAAATCATGGGTGCGTGGAGTGTTATGCCCTCTGAGACTTGGTCCTGTAGGAAGAAATGGGTAGAACAGAGCAACCTAAGCTAATCTCATTGGACATGTGTAAGCAGAGAAAAAAAATGTATATGCATATATTTTTTAAGATACTGATATCTTGAGCTTGTTTATTACAGCAGAATAACAACTTAAATAATCCAAACTACTTTTTAAATTTTGGATTTAGGCTATAATTCTGCTTTAATGAAAGTATTTTAACTTGTAATCATGTAATGACTCATTTTTTCACTCAGTCATAGAAAATGTCATATTTCATATGCACATTTTTCTATTTCAATTACATCGTATTTCATGGAACTACTTTAAAGCATATACAGTTTATGTTGCCAAATATGCATTGAACATGAGCATACCTTCACATTTTTAATGTACTCCAAAATTAAAGGAGAAACATTTCTGTATTGAAATCAGTAATATTATATCTTTATAAGTGCTTTACACCTATTCACTTCCTATAAGAAAAATAAAATATTAGCATTATTTAAATAACTTGTTTTTAGTGGGAGATAAAGCTTTTGCAAAATTACTTTTTACTTCATGTGTTATATCATACAAAAAGAAAATCAAAATAAATAATTTCTGATCTTCAAATCTCTCTCTATTTCCCTCTTTCTTTCCCGTTCTCTTCCTCTCTCTTTCCCCACTCGCTCTCTGTCTCTTCATACACAGACATACAAGCATGAGCACATGTACATACACACAGGGACACACATACTCATGTGTGCATTGATATGGATCAATTCCTATACTTAATCCTGATAAAATGGAGTCATAATGGCAAGGATGATCAACATCTTGCTCACTATTTGATTCCAACCTATTGGCTAGTGCTTAGAGCAAGAGGAAGAAAAGGAGGAGGGAGAAATGGAGGGGAAAATTTGAGAAAGAGTAGGAGGTTTTTGAATCTAGTTTGAATTCGACAAGCTAGAATTCAGAAGAAAGCAGGGTGAGAAAAATATGGATAACGTGCTCAAGAGAAGTGCATCTGATACACTCACATATATACACACCCACCCACATATATATATTCATAATATTTTACTACTCTAAATTTATTCAACTGTTGCTGGATGCAAATTACACAGCCTTTTAAATGACACTCAAGTCTCTGATATTTCCTGGAATCTACTACAGTGTGGCAAATTGGATTTTATAAATAAATTAATCTTTTTTATTCATTCACATTAAGATGTTTTGAATAAAGTGAAATTAGAGGAAGGCCATCCTATCAATTTTTATCCCAACATAATTGAAGCATTGAATGCAAAAGAAACCAAATAAAAGATGAAGGCTAAATGTTTAAAAGATGTGACTATTTCTGGATTTTGTAGTCATTTTGACCTCCATTTTCTAAACATACACATAAACCTATTAATATCTTCTAATTCTGGCTATAGTAGCATAAATAATAAACATTTAACAATTAAATGGTAACATAAGTAATGTAGTACATTGAATAATTACTTGAAGAAATACATGTAATGCCAAACATCCAACAATATAAAGATACCAAATCTTTCTTTGCTTTAGAGTTATTTTTAACATATTTGAAAGTAAACATTATTTTCTTTCTTTCTTTCTTTTTTTTTTTTTTTTTTTAAGATGGAGTCTCGCTCTGTCATCCAGGCTGGAGTGCAGTGGCGCAATCTTGGCTCACTGCAACCTCAGTCTCCTGGGTTCAAGCAATTCTATGCTTCAGCCTCTTGAGTAGCCGGGATTACAGGTGCCTGTCACCATGCCTGGCTAATTTTTGTAAGTAGAGACAAGGTTTCACCATCTTGGCCAGGCTGGCCTTGAACTCCTGACCTTGTGATCCACCTGCCTCAGACTCCCAAAGTGCTAGGATTACAGGCATAAGCCACTGTGCCTGGCCGAAAGTAAATATTTTCTTTAATTCAATAAGACATAATTATTCAGCACATATAATTTTGTAATGAGTTAAAAGCTGATAATGTCTATTGGGTACTCTGCTCAGTAGCTAGGTGATGAGATCGTTTGTACCCCAAACCTCAGCATCATGCAATATACCCAGGTAACAAACCTGCACATGTACTCCCTGAATCTAAATTAAAAGATAAGAAAATAAGAAAAGTAAAAATAGAAGTTAATCATGTAGAAGAAAGGCTTTATGTACTAAATATGTACTTAATATGCTTTATGTACTAAACCTTCAGCCTGGAATCACTGAGTGGGAACTATTATCATGACAGTACAAAGCACTAAATACAAAAGAATATTTCTTTCGTAACAACATAACTGGAAATTCAAAGCAAAATTCTAGTTCTTCTTTTTTAAAGTATCAAATCACAGCATTGTATTTATCTGAAAGAAAAATGTTCTCAGTCTCATATACTGAAGTTCAATTTAAACTGTGACATATTTATGTACTTGGGTGCACATGTCACGCTTTATGTACTTAATGATTTCAAGTCATGCTTTAATCTGAACTAAATATTTATTTTAAAAAGTATATTCTTAAAAACTAAAATATTACACTTTGGGAGGCTGAGGTGGGCAGATCACCTGATGTCAGGAATTCAAGACCAGTCAGACCAACATGGCGAAACCCCATCGCTTCTCAACATACAAAAAAATTAGCCAGGCATAGTGCCACGTGCCTGTAGTCCCAGCTACACGGGAGGCTGAGGCAGGAAAATCGCTAGAACCCAGGAGGCAGAAGTTGCAGTGAGCCAAGACTGCACCACTGCAGTCCAGCCTGGGTGACAGAGTGAGACTCCGTCTCAAAAAATAATGATAATAATATAATACAATAAAATAACATATTATAATTATACATTTAAATAATCAATTATAAATCTAAATTTAAGATTTATAAAATAGTTTTATATTCATCTCCGAATAAGAATATGATAGTGGATTTACTGAAATTGAGAAAAGATAGCCTGCTAGGCATACAGTTCCCCAACGTGTTTTTCCCTTAAAATTATATCTGGGAGCTATTTCAAAAACGTTGCATAGAGATCTTCCTTATTCTGTCTTAGAAGCAAATTTAGTGGTTCATTGTTTGAATATGCTGCACAATATCAATGTTATAAGTCTTCTTTGTCTTAAGCTTTATGTTTTACATCCACCTTGATAGGAAAATTGCTACTCCTCCTTTTTTTAATCTGCAGTTTTACAATATAATGTTGTTCATATTTAATATACCATTGCTCATACTTTTATTTTCAAATTTGATGTTAGTTTGTCTTAGGCCCACTTTTATATAGGACGAGATTTAAGATTTGTCTTATTCAAATCTGAACCTAAATTTTGTAGGTGCTCTGGTCTGAATATGTGCCCCAAAATTCATGTGTTGGAACTGAAACCACAATTTGATAGCACTGAGAAGGGAGGCCTTTTGGGGGTGATTAGATCATGAGGGCAGAGCTGGCTCTTTTTTTTTTTTTTTTTTTTTTTTTGTGCTCTTTTTGCCCAGGCTGGAGTGCAGTGGCGTGATCTCGGCTCACTGCTGCAACCTCTGCCTCCCGGGTTCAAGGGATTCTCCTACCTCAGCCTCCCAAGTAGCTGGGATTACAGCCATGCGCCACCAAGCCCAGCCGATTTTTTGTATTTTTAGTAGAGACGGGTTTTCACCATGTTGGTCAGCTGGTCTCAAACTCCAGACCTCAGGTGATCCACCTGCCTCGACCTCCCAAAGTGCTGAGATTACAGGCGTGAGCCACTACTCCCTGCTAGCTGGCTCTTTTGCCCTTCCACCTCCTACTGTGAGGACACCTATGAGTAATGAGCTTTCACCTGACACTCATCAGCCTCTAAAATTGTGAGAAATAAATTGTTATTATTTATAAATTATCCAATCTGTGGTATTTTGTTATAGCAGCAGAAATGTACTGACAATGTATTAAATATATTTATATTTATTTATATGACAATATGTTTGATCTTGGTTCTTTTTATACTTGTATGTTATTTTTTAACTTTCATTTTGTGCTTCGTTGTCCAGTAGTAAACTGTATAATTACGACTTATATAATACCTTTGTCTATTAGGATTAAGCTCTTTATATTTATTTCCTGATAGGAGAAAGGAGCAAATGTTTCTTCCAATTAAATTATTTATCATAGAACTTCCCTTACAGTGTTTAATATGTTGATATTATAATATTTGATTTTTCAACATGCAGTAATGTTCTTTGATTTCTAGCTATTAACAGACCCAAGCAACACATGTTTATTTTCTATTCCCCCTCCTGATTTTACTAGTTGCATCATTTCTTAGGAGTCATTGCATCCAGGGGCTATTCTATCCTGTCACTCAAGGATACTTGTTTGTTTTAGCATTATTTCCAAAGGCAAATATATTCAATACTTACATCATTATTCCTCATGAAACCAAAGGTGAAAAATTATCTTGAAAATTTAATCAAATCCATTAATATATAAAGAATCATGATCAAGCGCAGTTTATCACAGGAATGTGAGGTTGATATAACACCTGAAAATTAATCAATGTCATTCACTATTTTAAAAAATTATCAAAAGCTCACATGGTTACTTATTTAGTTGTAGAAGATTCATTTAACACAATCTAACATTCATTCAGGATAAAAAAAAAAAAGCTCTCAGTGAACTAAAACTAGAAAGAAACCTCCTCAGCCTGACAAAAGGCATCTGTATAGAATAAAAATCCATAGCTAATATTATACTTACCAGTGAAAAAGTGAAGGCTTTTCAAATATTTAAGAATAAGAGATGTGTGTCTCTCATCTCTCTTTACACTTATAATCAACATCATACTGGAGATTGTAGCCAGTACAATAATCAAAAAAATAAATAAAAGCCCCCCACAATGTATATGAAGTAGCGAAACTGTCTTTATTTCCACACAACATAACCATTGTTGTAGGAAATCTGATGGCATCTCTAAAGATGACTAGATGTAAGGAATTAGTGTGACAAAGTTGTCAGATGAAAATACAAAATTTATATAGAAATTTTAGCAAGATGTAATCAAATCTAAATAAAAAAATGTATAAAAGGAAAAGAAAAATTGGAAATACTTGAGTAAATTCCTACAAAATATGGAAAATGACTACTTTGTACTAAAAATTACAAAACATTGGTGAAAAAAATTAGTGACCTAAATAGAATGTAGAGATATATTGAGGGGACTCAGTATGGCTATGGTGTCAGTTCTCCCTTAATTAATCTGTAGATTCAACTCAATTCCATACAAAAATTCCAGAAGACATTTTTGTATCTTTTTTTATTCATTGGCAAATTAATTATAAATTTAAAATGAGCTATGAAGAACCTGTGATACCCAAAACAACTTTTTGTATCCTTGGACAGTTTTCTCATCTTTACAATGGACATTATAAGAGTAATATTTCCCTCAAAAACAATTCAAGAACTTTGCATCAAACATACTCTCATCAGAGAGATTTTCTTACTAATTTTCTATATTGAATGCTTGTCCATATTCCAGTTAACCCTTAGCACATTACCTTATCACAGAACTCAAAGAATAAACAAAGAACATTGTTCTCCTAGCACCCAATGAACAGTGCTACTGATTTCCAGGAGAGGTGCTATGACTCTCTCAGAATGTTTGAGCTCAAAACTACATTCCCATTAGATACTAGACCACTATCAACTGCAGCAGAAGAGAATTGCAGTAGGCCCTCTGTGTCCATGGGTTCTCCATCTGGGCATTCAATCAACCAAAGATAAAAAATGTTTGAAAAAAAAAACAAAATAAAACAATACAATTGAATGCAATACAATGTATTGCAAATTTTAAAATACAGTATAATAACTATTTAAATAACATTTAGATCCCATTAGATATTATAAGTAATCTAGAGAGGATTTAAAGTATATAGAAGGATTAGCATAGGTTATATGCAAATACTACACCATTTTATATAAGGAACTTGGGAATCTGCAGATTTTGGTATAAATGTGAGTCCTGGAACCAATCCTGAGTAGATACTGAGGCATAACTGTATCTCCTATTCAATATCAGATAATACAAGGTATATAAGTAATAATAGAAGACATGCAGTCCTTCAAGGAGAATGAGATTCATCCATGTTTAGTAGTAGAATGCCATCTTTAGTTTTAGGCTACACATTTGCAATTTGTACAGGATATAAAAAGTATCCTTTTAAGTGCAACCAGTTGTTATAAAATTAGTCAAATGCTAGGTATTGTTTAAGGATTCATTACAAAAATCAAGACTTACCAAATGATGGGGAAAATAGTGAAAGCATAGTATACTTCATTAACTTTATAGGAGAAATGGTGACCTAAAAAGTTTAAATTATAAACCCCATTTATATTAATATATATTTTCAATGCCATTCTGGGAGGTCAAAAATCATGTATAATGAATTAAGTATGTTTAGCTTAGTACAATTATTTGAAAAGTATTGCAAATGAAAGGGATGGGGTGAATGAGAGAGTTCATTTAGGAATTAGTTGAACATGACACAGTGAAATGATGTCATGAACTGAGGAAAAATGCAGATCTTGGGACAAAAGGGAGAAATTAAGGTGCTGGGAATTACTGGAGGAAAGCGTAGGGCTTCGAGGACCCACAGAGGAAGGACACTCAGTGTTCTCTTTAAGCACATCGCCTTGGATGGTAATATCACTTACTAAAAAACAAAGGGAAAATTGGCTTCACCATAGGGAAGTATGTCTATTCTGGTCACAACAGTGGTAAAATTTACAAATAAGATATTCATGAAGCAGTCAAAGTAAGACAGAGAGCTCTAAACCGCAGATATATATAGATATATATCTAAATTATGAGTACATAATTAATTTATGCATTTAAAATCACCAGATTAGATTTTATAATGAGGATACTTGTATCCAAGAAGAAAAGAAGTACGCTAAAATCATAATCCGGATGTACACCGTATTGCATTAGAGGGACAGAAAGGGCGATTACAATTCAGAAAAACAGGAATACTGGGAAAGAATACCGAAGCACAAGGAAAAAGAAAAATACAAGTGGTACGAAATCACAGAAAAACAAGAGGAGAGAATAGTGAAGAGAGAATCATGTCAAATGTGGTGGACACTTTAATGAACATAAGAAATAAAAGTTAGCATTAAGATTTATCAGTGAGGAAGTTATTGGTGGCCTAAGTTAGGATTGCCTCAGTGCAGTGGTGGAGGCAATTGTTGGTCAGGTTGGAGTGATCTGGGGGAATGAATATGTAGTGAGTACATGCCACCCTTCTAACTTGGCGTTAACGGAGAGAAGAGAGACGGGGGTGACTGAATGAGATGCAATGTAATCAGCAAATTTTTTTTCTGTTGCAATTTTGATACTAGAGTAGAGCCAGGATCATGATGGAATTTAAGACAATGAGGAGGGTAATTTATAGGGAAATAGAGAACATAGGATATAAAACAAAAGTCGATTAGCCTAAAACCAAGATAGAAGCATTTCCATAAAACGGAAAAGTAGGCAAGGCTGCATGCTGATAAGAAAAAAATTGTGGGGAAAGTGGGGGGTACATGAGAAGACAGCTATTTTACTGGTGAAGTGATAGGTGGGAAAGGCATGTGTAGACAGGATGGAAAAGGAACACAGAAGAGCAGAATCCGGCTCCAGGCGATGATGAAAGCTTTCAACTTTGATATTACTGGGGCTTGGTATATTGATGAGAGGTACTAAGGAAGAGTAGAGGAAGTGGGTACATAGAAGAAAAGAAAGAATCATTTGAAGCCAAGCCAGAGAGAATAGAACATCTCTTGTAAATTTTTTTTTAAAAAAGTGAGAATTTGAAGTGTCATTCAAATATAATGTGCCTATTTTATTCTCTACTAATTTTTGTTATCTCATTAGCTATAGCCAGCCTTATGAGCCAATATAAGTGGTTTTTAAGGTAGTGAATGGCATTAGTTTCCATTTTAAACTAAAATGTTTCCAATGTCAGGGTTTTCTTAATTTGTTAGAATTCCTGTTATTTCTCCTGGCACTGCTCAGAGATAAATGCATAATTGAAAAACGAATACCACTAGAAATAAAGCAAACAACGTATCTCCCACGAAACTGAAACCATGGATACCCGCCTAAGCCTTTCACCACTAACATTTGTATATCTTTTTGGTATTATCCCATAAACCATAAGGAAGCATTAAGGAAAGATATTGAACTTGCAGCCCTACTAATAATTACCTTTTCTATAAACAAATTATTCAAGCACTTTTATCTTTACTTTTCTAGCTTGTAAAATCATATCTACTTGGCAAAGTTACTGTGAAAATAAAATAAAATAGAAAAATGTATGTAGGGCTCCTGGCAGAGTGGATCACCAAAAGCAAATTTTCTTATCATACTTTTATAGAAACAACTTGAGTTAAACTGAGTTTTTTTGGTTGTTATTGTTTAAGAAACTGTCTAGGTCTAATATTTTATTATTGAAAATAATAACATAGAGAAAAAAAGAAAAAGAAGAAAAATATTAGGTAACAAATGAATGTCTTTTATCTCCCTCTGCAATGTTTCACAGCCACAATTCCTTTAATGGAATACAATCAAAGAAATAAAATTAGCGATTTGAAATGTTGGCAATGTTACTTTACGTATGAGAAGCTTCAGGGATGAGAGCATTACGTGACAATGGCGGTGCAAAGCTTTTTTTTTTCCTAAGGAAAATCAATCAGAATCATCTCTTGCCTACAAAGAAGTTCTCCATTTAAAAAGTGTGTGTGCATTTGAAAAGATGCATTCACTGTTTAAATACCATATTCCAATACCCACTTTATTAAGTTGATTTGTGCAATTTAAATTGCCTGCGGCTCACCATGTTAGTGCATCTCCTTAATGTTCATCCTGAGACTCCTGCCTCAGCTTTTATTCTCACTAGCACTATCATTAATGGATATCATGCTCAGATTCCTAGCACAGAGTGACAAGACACAGTGCTACGAACACTTATAGGGTTTCACCGTTCCAAACATCAGCAAAATACCCAAAGACCATGTTGATCACATTTGTCAGTACAGAAAGTTAACATGTAGGCTTACTAATAGTAAAACAGGGTATATAATTGTGGACACCTTATTTCAACCAAATTATCTCTGAAATATGTTACCTCCCAGTTCTTCCTAGTTTATTAAGAAAAAACAAACTTATAAACCATCCTTTACTTACAGGAGAGTTCTATAACATTCTTTATGATAATCTTATATTGACCTCAAGAAATGCAATAAACAAAATCTGGTTTTAAGTATTGGTCCTGACATTGAATAGCCATGCAATACAGACAAATCATGTAACATTCTCAAGTTTAATTTACTCAGTTATAGAATGGTAATCTCAAATTCTCAATGTTATTTTAGTTACTAAATATTAAAAGTGTTAAAGCTATGCAAACTATGATAAGATTTACTACAAATTAGCAATATTGTTCAACATCTGGCAATAGTCTACTTGTTAAGGTGTGTGTAGAATAAAAAAAATATGTCAGTCATTAAAGCAAAATATAGGAACTCAAGTATCCAGGTGAAAGAACATCATCATTGACCAATTCACAGCAGGTAACAAATCTGCTAGAAAAAATTTGGAATCTAAAACATGTATCAAGCCAACACAGCATATATGGGAAGTAGCGCACAAAGAAGTGCAAAGTACCACTTAGGTTTTTAGAATTAGGGATCAAATTAAGAGAGATCAGCTGCAAAACTGAGAATGTGGAGAGCTGTTCTCCCCCATTACATTTTAAATCCCTTATTTCTCTGTAAAGCGAATGGACCTGATAATTTAAGTTGGACATAAGCAAATTTCAGTTGTGTGAGAATAGAAAACTTGTAGAGATAGACATTTAAAAAATAGTCACCTTAATGGAGTATATTTTCTTAGTATTAGAAATAAATCTTTGTGTATAAATGTCTATTTTGATATCCTATCACCTGATGTCGGAGGATGACAATACAAGGCATTCTTACTAGGATATGTTTGAACACATGCATTTAGAAGAACACCGGCAATGGGGTGAGGTCATGGTCTCCTGGAGGAAGAAATTATAATGCTGAGCACCTGTTGCTAATGAAACATAGATTACATGGAAAGGTGTGTACTTATGTATGCAGACGCTGACTACTTTGAATAGTAATCCAGAGTTTAAAAGGCACAAGCTACTGTGGTGAGCAGGCTCTAGGACAGATGCCAATAATCCCTGCCTCCTGATATTCTCAGCCTTGTCTACTCCCTGTAACGTTGAGTGGGGGCTGGACTTACTTACTTGCTTCTAACCAATAGAATAGAAGAACAGTGACGCCATGTCAGTTCTGAGATTCAGTAATACAAAAATATGTGTCTTTTAAAACATGATTTCTCTCTTTTCCTCTATTGGATTGTCTGCCCTGATCAAAGACAGTTGTCAGGTTGTGGGGTGGGACAACATGGAATCTAGCTGCCATGTCATGAAATAGACCCATACTGATGCACATGTGGACAAGACATTGAAGCTGGCCGACAATCATGAGGGTGAGGTTAGAAGCAGGTAATCCTTTCCCAACTGAGGTTTTAGTTTTGTCTACATACGTGATATAGGTTTAACGTTTGCAGTCCCCAGTGTTGGAGGTGGAGACTGGTGGGAGGTGATTGAATCATAAAGGCAGACTTCTCATGAAGGGCTTCGCACCATCCCCTTGGTGATAAGTGAGTTCTTGCTCAGTCAGATCATGTGCGATATGGTTGTTTAAAAGTCTGAGACCTCTCTCTCTCTCTCTCTTTCTCTCTCACTCTTGCTCCCATTCTCATTGTGTGATACGCCAGGACCGCCTTGCCTTCTGCCATGACTGTAAGCTTCCTGAGGCCTCACCAGAAGCCCCACAGATACCCAGCGCCATGCTTTCTATACAGCCTGCAGAACGCTGAACCAATTAAACCTATTTTATTTATAAATTACCCAGTCTCAGGTATGTATAGCACTGCAGGAATGGCCTAACACAATATCCTTCAAAAAGCCTAACTGAAATAAGATATCTTGAAACAGAGGGAGCTAGTTAAATATTTGTATTCCTGACCCTCAGAAACTGACATAGTAAATATTCGTTGCCTTCAGCTGCTAAATTGTGGCATAATTTGTTATGCGGTAATAAATAACTAATGCAACCACCAATTAAAACCAAGATGTCTTTGATCTGTCAGTCAGGTTCTGTAGAGGGAACACTATGCCGATTTTGCTTCTTGCTATTTTCCTCAGTGTTCACTCCCTACCTCATGGTAAACAGCAAGTGGTGTCCATGGAGCGCATGGACGATGGTCTAACATCTTTATATAATAGCACCAGAAGCTATCCATGAAGAAAAGCAGTGGTTGCAGAGACTAGCAGGAAGTCAACCTCCGTAAGGAAGTGAAGATTTTATGCTGCCATTGCAGATATGGAAGTATCACTTTCCAAGAACATGCCTTGATATTCTTTTTGCTTATCTTTACAAATTCAGACTTTTTAAAAGATCATTAATACTAAACTTACCCATCACAATGTAAAACTCATTAAAACATTTATATTCCACAAGGGTAATTTTCTCTTGATAACTTTTTTACAATAAACCAATTGAAATTTGACTATTTTAATGCCATCTTAGTGTCATTCAGGAATACCAATCCAAGTGCAAAAAGTGAATTAATTTTATAATCGCTCTCCAAGCCATATTTTTAGGTTTATATCCTCTTCTTACCAATCACCATTATTTTCAGGTTTGTTTTGAAAAAATATTCCTTTATGTCCTTCCTGTGAAAATTAAAAAAAATATAGCAAGAAGGAAATAAAAACTCTACATATCACCAACCACAGTATTACACAATATCAATGTTGAAAAGGAATTTCCACTATTTGTTTCTGGAAAGGAGCAGTCATTTTTGATGTTGGGAAGTAATAATTCAGCATATTTTGAGTAACTGGGGATGGCAACTTCTAAGTAAGTGATCCATTTCATCTCTCATGTTTAGTTACAGTAGTTTTCATGATTTTTAGCTGGAAATTGCTTCCACATAACTTTTCTCCAGAGGGCTATTTACACTAAATCTAGTCTTTTTTCCTTACTCCTGCCTTCAAATACCTTAAGATAACACTTGTTTGTATATATTTTCTTCATTCCAAGAAGAACTGGAATGCGAACAATTGAGGGCAATATTATTTTTCAGGGTTGGTGACCACTGGAGATTTATCAAAGATTATCAGCACATTATGGATTTAATAATGATACATAAGTTTCAATTAGATGAGGTGTGTTTCCCAACACATCGTTTGCTGATATCTTTCCCGTCCATTTAATATTCTAGGTCTATTTTACATGAATCACTACGGAAATAACGTAGGTTGTTCTTGAACATGGATGGTTTGTTATTAATTTAATATATATACCTACTAAATAACATTGTTATAAATTCATGCCAAAATTGATGTGACAGTATGTAAACCTGAATTCAGATTTTAACATTGATATGTTTCTCAAAGCTTTCAGCAATCCATGTTTCAAATTCTAGATTAAAATCTTGGGTGACATAAATGCCATGGGGCGTTTTAGAACTGTTAATTGCAAAAAAGTCACTTTTCAAAATTATTTAAGTCTACAGTTATTCAAGTTTGAACTTTACTGTCAAACCTAATTTAGTTTCAATTTAAGACCCTAAAACCATGCAAAGTCAAGCTTTGAGTCATACCCTGGTCTGCACCCTGGAAGCATCCCAGAGCTTCTTACTTCAGGAAACTTTGAATGTATCTCTTCCTTCATGTGGTAACTGAACTAGTGATCAGGGAGAGTAAGAATAAATAATCACCAGATAATAGTCTTGAAAGAAAAATTATGAGGTTCTAACAGCAAATAAAAGAAGCAAGCTAGCTTGAGAATTAGTGAGATTACTATATAAAACAGGTGTAAATGAAATTCTACAAAAGGGAAATCTAAAAGAGACTAAGTAGATTTCTCTCA